>NT_187669.1:0-170665 GCF_000001405.40 Homo sapiens
TCTACTCTCCCATGCTTGCCTCGGCAGCACATATACTAAAATTGGAACGATACAGAGAAAACTAGCATGGCCCCTGCGCAAGAATGACACGCAAATTCGTGAAGTGTTCCATATTTAAAAAAAAAAATCTACTTTCCTGGTAAATTTCAAGTATAGAGTACAGTATTGTCAACCATAGTGGCAAAGCTGTACAAGAGATCTTCAGACCCATTCCTCCTGAATACCTGATAGTTTGTATCCTTTGATCAACATCTCCCAATTCCCTCCCCCACACTGTCCCTGTAGTTCTAGTGAGTTTCCCAGACTCTGATGTCTCAATTTCATTCAGTCACTTTCCTCCAGATACATCTACCCATTCCTACTGCATCTTAGTATCCTGAGCCTTGGGGGCAGTTTCTGTGCCAAGTGGAAATGTGGAAATGAGATATTACGAAGAAAAATCTTTGCCCACCTAGACAGGGATCTGATGTTTTCCAAGATGACACATGATTACATGTTGAAATGATAATATTTTGAGTCTACTTGTATAATAAAATAATATTTTGGATCTATTAGGTTAATATTTTGGGTCTGTTGGGTTAATAATATTTTGGGTCCATTGGGTTAACTTAAATTAATTTTATCTGTTTCTTGTTAGCTTTTTAATTTGGATACTAGCAAGTTTGAAAGAATGCATGTGGTTTGCATTATGTTTCTATAGGACAGAACTTACCTGTAGATGTAAGGGAGTCACAACAAAATTACAAGCATTGTTTTTGGTGGAAATGAGAAAAATGATTACAAATTTACATGGAAAAGCAAATAGCCAATAATAATAATAATGGCAATCTTAAAGAGGAAGGAGAAATTAGAGGATTCAGGCTGCCAAATTTTAAGGGGTTCTATAAGGCCACATAAAGTGCAGCATCCTCATGAGAGTGGACACAGAGAGCCACTGAGCAGAAAAGAGTGTGTAAAATACATCTGTGTACACACAGTCCTTTTATAGTTGACAGAGGCTGCCATGCGGATTAAGGTGGAATAGAATGTCTTCTCAGTAAATAACATTGGACCAGAGGGTTACAAGCAGGAAAAAATAAATCTAAGCTTATTTTCACACCATAAAAACACTGCTAATTTTTTATCTTATTATCATACATTTTGATGATTTATTTATAAAATTGATGAATGAAAATTATATACAGTTGTCCTTCACTATTCATGGGTGATTGGTTCCAGGAAACCCCCCTCCCTACCAGACACCAAAATCTGCAGATGCTCAAGCCTGTTGCATGAAATGGCACAGCGTTTGCATATAACCCATGCACATCCTCCTGTATACATGAAATCATCTCTAGATTACTTATAATTCCTGATACAGCCTACACACCACCTCACTTGTGTCCACACAATATAGTATTTTTGCTTTTTGGAACTTTGTGGATTTTTTCTCTGAATATTTTTGATTTATATTTGGTTCAATAAACACCTGTAAACCCCACAGATATGGAGGAGCGACTGTATATTTATAGTATGAAAGATGATGTGTTGACATGTGTCCCTGTGGAGATGAGACTAACAAGGCCTATGACTCTACAAATGTTTCATCTTGGAATGACTCTGCCAGCTTTCCAGGTCTGCAGAGAGTAAGAATATCACTTGTTCATGTGATTCACGATCCTTGGAACCTCCTATGTGCTGCATCTTTGGATGGAAATTGGAGTCCCAGAGACAAATGAGGCTCCACCCTGCTTCCAGAAGCTCAGAGTCCAGGGCTGAGAACCCAGTAGAGAACATATCAGGTTATATGGACATAGTAATGATAACACTGGAAACTTTTGGCGAATAAAGAGTCACATTATCGAAACCATGAGGGCAGACATGTTTATTTGAAGAGGAGAGAGCTACACTGAAGTTATAAAAAAAATTTATAAATTTTACTGATGACAGAAGGCTGAAAGATAGTCTGAGGGGAGGTGGAACAGCATGAGGGAAGGTGGAACAGCAAGTGTGTAAGTGCCGTGTTAAGAGGGAGCCTCTTGTATGTTTGGAATTGTGAGTTCCTCAGTGTGATTGCAGCCTCAAGTAGGACTAGGAAGTAAGCCAGTTAGGTTGGAGAGGTGGGCAGGGGTCAAGTGAAATAGATACTTGTGGGCTAAGCAAAGGAGTGTGTTTTCTCTGCAGCAGGCAGTGGCGACCTTAGGCATTTGTAAGCAAGAGAGAGGCATGTTCAGATTCGTGGTGTGAGGAAGAGCGATCCCCTAAGATGCAGACTGATGCCTTCAGATTCCAGCTGCTGGTTCATTGGATCTGGCAACCTGGTTTTGAGACAGGGCTGTTGTCTCCCTAGAAAACCCCCTCAAGACCTGACTGTGGTGCTCGTGGGCAGGAGACAACTTTGGATCTGGGCTCAGCATTTGGAAGTTCCGTGTACACGCTGGTATCTGTTAGGGGTGTCTTGGGCCTCTGAGAAGGGCGACTGATTTTTCTCTGTATGAAAACGCAGTGATCCAACTGTGCGTACGTCACCTCCTGAGGGTCTTGTTCATCAGAGTCCTGGAGAGAGGGAAATGCTGAGTGAGGGAGGGTGCTCACATTTTTCAGGACTATTAGGGATAAGACTGTATCCGTGAGGCTGGGCCGAGGAGGACCTACCTGCCTATTCACTGTTCTGTCCCCCGCAGGCTCTTGGTCCATTACAGCAGCATCTGTAGGAGACGGAAGTCATCAAAACCGCTTGGAGGGCCCTTCTGGGTCCTCATTTCATGGGCAGACACCAACCCACAGGGGGAGGCTGTAGGTGCCTGAGGCTCTTCAGCTGCCAACATCCAGACTCAGACATTCTATCTCTCTGAGTTCAAGACCCCATCCCATGAAGTGCTCTCAATTGGCATCCCATTGATTCTGTCTCCCACTTTCTGCCTGTCATGGAAGCTTCTGGATGTCAGTGGCTGCAGGGGATGTGAGGATACAGTTCAGAACCAGGCAATGGTCTGTGAGCTGAAGGCAGGGGCAGGTTGTCTGGTGCTCTCTCTAGAAAGCCCTGCCTCTGTGGCTCCTCCCTTGGGCCAGGGACCATCCTGCCAGTGAGGAACACACACCCGCGTGCTCCCATCCTGCTTCCCCACATGGCCCTGAGCTCTCTGGCCTCTGCTTCGTGAGACTTACTCTTTTTGTTGGAGCACCAGCGATAAAGGAGAAAGAAGAGGAGGAGGATGAAGAGGAAGATGACCACTGAGGTCCCAATCAGAACATGCAGGTGTCTGCAGATACCTGGAGGAAGATGGGAATCCAATAAGAAGCTAATCATAGCAGTTCCTCTTTATGGATTGTCTCATTTCTTGATTGACAGGTAACCACATGGAACATCTCCTTAGGACAAGCAG
This sequence comes from Homo sapiens, assembly GCF_000001405.40. NCBI lineage: Eukaryota > Metazoa > Chordata > Mammalia > Primates > Hominidae > Homo > Homo sapiens. The sequence goes on from NT_187669.1 coordinate 3,366, forward strand.
CCTGATGGCGGGAGACCCAGCTTTCTCCTGCTTTCTCAGTTACAGCTCTCATAGAAACCATAGAACATGCTGAGGATACAGCTGCTTTAGTTTAGATGTTTGACCCTTTGAAACCTCACACTGAAATATTGAAATTTAACCCCCAGTGTGGAAGTTTGGGCCTATGGGAAGGTGTTTGAGTCATGGAGGTGGATCCATCATGAATAGATTAATGCTGCCCCACATGATGGGGTTAGCAAGTTCCCCCTCTATTAGTTCCCGGAGGGCTGGTTGTTAAAAAGAGCTTGGAAGCTCCATCGCTCGCCCTCCCCCTTGCTCCCTCTCTTGCCATGTGATCTCTGTGGTCTCTGCACAGACAGACCCTCCTTCCCTTCTGCCAGAGTGGGAGCAGCCTGAGGCCGTCACAGGAAACAGATGCTGGTGCCATGCTTCCAGTACAGCCTGCAGAACTGTGAGGCAAACAAATCTGTTTTCTCTAGAAGTTGCCCAGGCTCTGGGATGCAAGGCTGGTTCAATATATGCAAATCAATAAATGTAATCCATCATATAAACAGAACCAAAGACAAAAACCGGACGATTATCTCAATAGATGCAGAAAAGGCCTTTGACAAAATTCAACAACGCTTCATGCTAAAAACTCTCAATAAATTAGGCATTGATGGGACGTATCTCAAAATAATAAGAGCCATCTATAACAAACCCACAGCCAGTATCATACTGAATGGGCAAAAACTGGAAGCATTCCCTTTGAAAACTGGCACAAGACAGGGATGCCCTCTTTCACCACTCCTATTCAACATAGTGTTGGAAGTTCTGGCCAGGGCAATTAGGCAGGAGAAGGAAATAAAGGGTATTCAATTAGGAAAAGAGGAAGTCAAATTGTCCCTGTTTGCAGATGACATGATTGTATATATAGAAAACCCCATTGTCTCAGCCCAAAATCTCCTTAAGCTGATAAGCAGCTTCTACAAAGTCTCAGGATACAGAATCAATGTACAAAAATCACAAGCATTCTTATACACCAATAACAGACAAACAGAGAGCCAAATCATGAGTGAACTCCCATTCACAATTGCTTCAAAGAGAATAAAATACCTAGGAATCCAACTTACAAGGGATATGAAGGACCTCTTCAAGGAGAACTACAAACCACTGCTCAATGAAATAAAAGAGGATACAAACAAATGGAAGAACATTCCATGCTCATGGGTAGGAAGAATCAAGATCGTGAAAATGGCCATACTGCCCAAGGTAATTTATAGATTCAATGCCATCCCCATCAAGCTACCAATGACTTTCTTCACAGAATTGGAAAAAACTACCTTAAAGTTCATATGGAATCAAAAAAGAGCCTGCATTGCCAAGTCAATCCTAAGCCAAAAGAACAAAGCTGGAGGCATCATGCTGCCTGACTTCAAACTATACTACAAGGCTACAGTAACCAAAACAGCATGGTACTGGTACCAAAACAGAGATATAGATCAATGGAACAGAATAGAGCCCTCAGAAATAATGCCACATATCTACAACTATGTGATCTTTGACAAACCTGAGAAAAACAAGCAATGGGGAAAGGATTCCCTATTTAATAAATGGTGCTGGGAAAACTGGCTAGCCATAGGTAGAAAGCTGAAACTGGATCCCTTCCTTACACCTTATACAAAAATTAATTTGAGATGGATTAAAGACTTAAACGTTAGACCTAAAACCATAAAAACCCTAGAAGAAAACCTAGGCATTACCATTCAGGACATAGGCATGGACAAGGACTTCATGTCTAAAACACCAAAAGCAACGGCAACAAAAGCCAAAATTGACAAACGGGATCTAATTAAACTAAAGAGCTTCTGCACAGCAAAAGAAACTACCATCAGAGTGAACAGACAACCTACAAAATGGGAGAAAATTTTCGCAACCTACTCATCTGACAAAGGGCTAATATCCAGAATCTACAATGAACTCAAACAAATTTACAAGAAAAAAACAAACAATCCTATCAAAAAGTGGGCAAAGGACATGAACAGACACTTCTCAAAAGAAGACATTTATGCAGCCAAAAAACACATGAAAAAATGCTCACCATGACTGGCCATCAGAGAAATGCAAATCAAAACCACAATGAGATACCATCTCACACCAGTTAGAATGGCGATCATTAAAAAGTCGGGAAACAACAGGTGCTGGAGAGGATGTGGAGAAATAGGAACACTTTTACACTGTTGGTGGGACTGTAAACTAGTTCAACCATTGTGGAAGTCAGTGTGGCGATTCCTCAGGGATCTAGAGCTTGAAATACCATTTGACCCAGCCATCCCATTACTGGGTATAAACCCAAAGGACTATAAATCATGCTGCTATAAAGACACATGGACACGTATGTTTATTGTGGCACTATTCACAATAGCAAAGACTTGGAACCAACCCAAATGTCCAACAATGATAGACTGGATGAAGAAAATGTGGCACATATACACCATGGAATACTATGCAGCCATAAAAAATGATGAGTTCATGTCCTTTGCAGGGACATGGATGAAATTGGAAATCATCATTCTCAGTAGACTATCACAAGGACAAAAATCCAAACACCGCATGTTCTCACTTATAGGTGGGAATTGAACAATGAGAACACATGGACACAGGAAGGGGAACATCACACTCTGGGGACTGTTGTGGGGTGGGGGGAGGGGGGAGGGATAGCATTAGGAGATATACCTAATGCTAAATGACGAGTTGATGGGTGCAGCACACCAGCATGGCACATGTATACATATGTAACTAACCTGCACATTGTGCACATGTACCCTAAAACTTAAAGTATAATAATAATAAAAATTTTAAAAAAAAGCTCATCAGAAGCACTATACAAAAAAAAAAAAAAAAAAAAAAGAAGTAACCCAGGCTCAAGTGTTCTTTTATAGCAACAAAAATGGACTAAGACAGCAACGTCCTGAGATCAGGAGGAACGTCTCAGAACAGCCTGTGCTGTCTTCCTGTTCTTCCTGGAGGAGGACGTCATGCAGTGCTTTAGCTGAGTGCTTCCTGTGGCTTCAGGGTACAAAACCCAGGCTGGGCTATTTTCTGGCTTCCCCCAGATACACTGCAAATGAGGTGACTCCATATGTCCCGAGCAGCTTTTCTGAGCCTTGAGGGACTGGCTCACGTTGAAATGTAGGCTTCTGTTGTCACTCGCTGCTTATCTGTTAGTAATGAACCTGCCTATGTAACGTATTCTCTGTGTGTTCTGTCTCCCTGGAGTGACGGTGAGTGATAGAAATTGGCATAGGCCCAGGTGCAGTACAGCAGGTGTTTAGAGTCTTCTCTGGAAAGACTGGACTGGGATTGATACACAGTGAATGTGCTTTACAGTTTCTACATCCACAACCCTCTTGACTCAAATTACATTCTCCAAGAAAAGGACACAAAAGTGAAATCAAGATCAAAAAAGCAAAGTAGAATTCTCTTATGTCAAACAGCCAGGAAATAATGATGAAGCCCATGTGAAACGTGCTACTCTTTGTGATCTCGCGAGACACATGTTAGGCTGCTGTTCCACCTGAGAGGCTGGGGGAAAGACCACCCCCTCCACCATCTATTGCTTCAAAACCACCTGTCCTCCTGTGAATTAGTAGGAAAGGGGAGCAGGAGCTAGTGCTGGTGCTGATCTCTGATTCCAAGATCTGAACTCACTCCAAGGAGTATTAGCGTTTACCTCCCCATGATCTATCTGTATCTCCACAGGTGATTGGAAGTAGGGGTGAGGTGGGGGATTTGGGTGAGGGGGAAAGTTTCTTGTGATGAACAGAGCACTTTCCCTATTTCAGGGCCTGTGCTGGTGGGTTCAGGGGGCTTTCATATTTTCCATATGATCTCATGTTCACAGAAAGCCAAATATGGAAGAGGTTTTAGGCTGATTTTCTAATGGATAAGATAAAGGATCAAAGAAGTAATTATAGAGGAATAGAAAAATGATGATTGGAATTCAGGTGCCTGCATCATTTGTGTATATTATTATATTTATGTATTTTTTATTTTTATTTTTTGAGACAGAGTATCCCTGTGTAGCCCAGGCTGGTGTGCAGTGATGCGATCTCCACTCACTGCAACCTCTGCCTCCAGGGCTGAAGTCATTCTCCTGCTTCCTCCTCCAGAGTAGCTGGGATTACAGTCATGCACCACCATCATGCCTGTTTAATTTTTGTATTTTTAGTAGAGATAGGGTTTCTCCATGTTGGCCAGGCTGGTCTCGAACTCCTGACTTCATGTGATCCACCCGCGTTGGCCTCCTGAAGTGCTGGGTTACAGGCGTGAGCCACCGTTCACAGCCTTGTATATTATGCTATACTAGGTCCCTTCATTTGCACCACCCCTCATCTAGCTCTCCCTCCTCTGCCAGGTATTGATTTAGATGCAGGAGAAATAAATCTCAGAAATAAGTTAGTGAAGCGAGGATTAAACTACCAGGAAAAATTAAACCCAGTAAGCGTTTCCAGTCAATGATTCTACCTCACAAACATATCTTATATCCATCTACTTCATTCATTTAGTGTCTAAATCAGCACCACATTTCACCAGTGGGGCGGCAATTGCCTTTTCCACGGTCTCCTAGATTCCAGTTATGCACCTGAGCCTCCCTTATTTTCATGTCAGTCATATTAATCATGTAGGGATTCCTGGTTACCCCGAGGTGAATCCAAGGGCTGTGAGTGTCAAACACACACTCCTTGTTGCTCCTTAGTTTCCTGTGTACCCAGTGTGCTCTCCGTCTCTCCACAGTCGTCTTGTCATTCTCCCCATCTCATTCCCGGCATTTCAGGCAGAGCCTCTTCCTTCCACATCAGATTGTTTTCACCTTTGTGCCTTCACGGCTGACAGCTGTGTGGAAAATCCTTCTGCCAATCTTCCAGGGGTTCAATCCGTGTTTTTCATTAATGTCACAAATATCTGATTAGTGAGAACTTCTCTGTCACCTGAAATCATACACTCAGCATTATCTATTATTGATTTGAAAATTTGGCTTGGCCCCGTGGCTCATGCCTCTTATCCCAGCGTGTTGGGAGGCAGAGGCTATTGGATCACCTGAGGTTGGGAATTTGAGACCAGCCTGGCCAACATGGTGAAACATCCTCTCTACAGAAAATATGCAAAAAGAGTTAGCCGGGCGTGGTGGTTGTGGTCTGTAATCCCAGCTACTGGAGAGGCTGAGGGAGGAGATCAGTTCAGCCCAGGAGGTGGAGGTTGCAGTGAGCCGAGATCATGCCACTGCACTCTAGCCTGGACGACAGAGCAAGGCTCCGTCTCAATAAACAAGTAGGTAAATACATAAATAAATAGATTTCATGCACAGATGCTTCTCAATAGATCATTCATTTATTGGTCCCCTTGTGCCTACATTTTCTGCCCTCCCATTTAACCATCTGCAAGATCAGTGTCCCAAGAACAGAGGCCAAATGCATCTTGTTCACTGTTTGTGGAAGGCAGGAGAATGTTGTCCCACCCCAAAAATGTCCATGTCCTAGCCTCCATAGCTTGTGAATATGTTATTTTACATGAAAGGAGGAATGAAGATTGCAGATGGAATTATGGTTGCTAGTCAGCTGAACTTAAAAGGAGGGTATCCTGGATGATTTCCGGGAGATTATGATGGATTTTCATCTTGGTGAACCCAATAGAATCCCCAAGTTTTCAAAAGAAGGGCAAGAAGGGAGAGCAGCATTCAGAGAAAGAGGTGTGGTAAGGAAGAAGGGTCTGAGTGATGCCATGTGAGATGTGACCAGTCTTTGTGGGCTTTGAGGAAGGAGGAAGGGTACCAGGAGCCAAGGAACATGGGAGCCTCTAGAAGCTGAGAAAAGTGAGAAGCAGATTCTTGCCTGGAACCCTCAGAGGGAAGGCAGCCTTGCTGTCACCTTGATTTTAGCCCAGTGACATGCACGTCATGCTTTGAGCTACAGCACTGTAAGATAATTAAATAACCGTTTTGTTTTCACCCACGAATCTTGTGGAAATTTGTTATGGCAACAATAGGAAAAGCTTCCACACTGCACAGCCTGAGCATGGGGCCGTGGCTGAATGAGTCAGTGAGTCGAAGTGTGCGTGCATGAGCTCTGTTCTCTGTTACGGCAAGGCTCTTGCTCTGCTGAGTCAGCCAGGGTTGCCTGATGACCAACAGTAATTCATTCCTTGGCAAGTGGAACTTCTCTAAAACACCCACCCTCATCAGATGTTCCCTTCCCTTCCCTCTCTCAAGCCCCCGGGAATTTATCCTCCAGTTAGGAATGCAGGCAGAAAAAACACTGCATTTTTCCTGAGAAGGATGTCAGATTGGCAATTATTCTTCTAGCTTGTAGGAGGTCTCACCTGCAGGAAATTAAAGGTAAAGAGACTTCGCTGAGCCCTTTGGTGGCCCTAGATCCCTTTCACTGTTGGAGTGTCTGGAGTTCAGAGATGGTGGAAGACAGGCCCTCATTCACAGAGCTGGGAGGTTTGAGCCAACACTTGCATCCAAGGCTTCCACCTCCCCAGGTTTCCAAAAGCAGAGATAAGAGGGGTCCTTTACTCACCAGATTTGGAGCTTGGTTCTGTGGGTGAAGGCCAACTACTTGAAGGGTTTCCTAGAACACGGGACAGGAGAGATGTGAGGAAATGAGGGTGCTTGTCCTCTACTCAATGGAAATCTTTGAGGTTGGTTCATGGCCAACACTCTGTTATCTAATGTTGGACCCTGGGAGTCTTGGGATCCTTTTCTCCATAATTTTTGTGTGCGATGCCCACTGTCTTGAGACTTGAAGGTATAAAGAGAAAACAGGAGCATCACACTACCTGACTTAGAAATATGTTACAGAGCTGTAGTAAGCAAAACAGCATGACATTGGCATAAAGAAAGGCACATAAAAAATGGAACAGAATGGAGAACACAGATATAATCCATGCATTTACATCCAATGGCTTTCTTTTGTGTGTGTGTGATAGAATCTTGCTCTGTCATGCAGGCTGGAGTGTAGAGGTGCAATCTCAGCTCAATGCAACCTCCACTTCCTGGATTCAAGAAATTCTCTTGCTTCAAACTCCTGAGTAGTGGTATTACAGGCACTGATCACCATGCTCAGCTAATTTTTGTATTTTTAGTAGAGACGAGGTTTCACTCTGTTGGCCAGCCTGGTCTTGAACTCCTGGCTTTAGGTGATCCACCCGCCTCGGCCTCCCAAAGTGCTGGAATTGCAGGTGTGAGCCACCATACCCAGCCCATTTAATGGACTTTGACAAAGGTGCCGAGAACTTACAATCAGGAAAGGACAGTCTTCAATAAATGGTGTGGGGAAAACTGGATATCTACATGCAGAGGAATAAAACTGCATCTATACCTGTCACCTTACACAAAAATCAAATGAAAATGGATTAAAAACATGAGTCTAAGGCCTGAACCTATGAAACATGTAGAAGAAAATAATGGGGAAGACATTTGTCTGACGAAAGACATTTTGTTTAAAACCTTCAAAACACAAGTAATCAAAGCAAAAAATAGACCATTAGGATTACATCAAACCAAGCAACTTCTGCACCACCAAAGATAAACCAACAAAGTGAAGAGACAACCCACAAAATAGGAGCAAATATTTGCAAACTATTCATCTGAGATGGGATTAATAACTGGAAATATAAGAAGCTCAAACAACTCAATAAAACAATTTAATTAAAAAACGAGCAAAAGACATGAGGAGACATTTCTCCACAAACAAAACATAGAAATGGCGATCACGTATATGAAAAAGTGCTCAGCATCACTCATCATCACAGAAATGTAAATTACAATCGCGATGAGTTTTCATCTCATCCCATTAAAATGCCTTTTAGGCCGGTGGCTCACGCCTGTAATTCCAGCACTTTGGGAGGCGGAGGTGGGCGGATCACCTGAGGTCGGGAGACCAGCCTGACCAACATGGAGAAACTCCCTCTCTACTAAACATACAAAAATTAGCTAGGCGTGGTGGCACATGCCTGTAATCCCAGCTACTTTGGAGGCTGAGGCAGGAGAATCAGTTGAACGCGGGAGGCAGAGGTTGCAGTGAGCCGAGATCACACCCTTGCACTCCAGCCTGGGCGACTATGAGTGAAACTCCATCTCAACATAAATAAATAAATAAATAAAGTAAAGTAAAATGGCTTTTATCTGCAAGACAGGCAAAACAAATGCTGGCAAGATGGTAGAGAAAGGAGAACCCTGGTACCCTGTTGGTAGGAATGTAAATTAGTACAACTATTATGGAGAAAAGTATGGAAAATCTTTAAAAAACTAAAAGCAGGCTGGGCATAGTGGCTTATGCCTGTAACTTCAGCACTTTGGGAAACCGAGGCAGGCACCTCACTTGAGGTCAGGAGTTTGAGAGCAGCCTGCCCAAAATTGGGATATCCCGTCTGTGCTAAAAAATACAAGAATTAGTCAGGCATGGTGGCGTGCACCTGTAATCACAGCTACTAGGGAGGCTGAGTCAGGAGAATCGTTTGAACCTAGGAAGCAGAGGTTGCAATGAGCCAAGATCGCACCACTTTGACTCCAGCTTGGACTAAGGAGGGAAACTCTTTCTCAAAAAAGAAAAAAAAAAAAAGAGAACTTTCATAGTGTCCAGCAATTTCACTACTGGGTTTATATCCAAAGGAAAGGACATCAGTGTATCGAAGTGATATCTGCACTCATATGACTGTTCCAGCACTGTTCACAGTAGCCAAGATGTGGAGTCAACCTACCTGCCTATCAGTGGGTGAATGGATAGAGAACTGTAGTACACACACACGGTGGAGACTACTCATCCATAGAAACAATAACATCCTGTCATTTGCAGCCACATGGATGGAACTCGAGGTCATTACAAAGATTCCCATTTCTCACCACATGCAGGAGATAAAAGGTGGATCTCATGAAGGTAGAGAATAGAATGGTGGATACCAGAGGCCAGGAAGGGAAGGGTGGAGGGTAACAAAAAAAAGAATATAGATGTATTTATTTATTTAGAAACAGAGTCTCTCTCTGTCTCCCAGGCTGCAGTGCAGTGGCATGATCTCGGCTCAGTGCAACCTCTGCCTCCTGGCTTTAAGTGCTTCTCCTGCCTCAGCCTCCCAAGTAGCTAGGACTACAGGTGCATGCCGGCATGCTTGGCTAATTTTTCTTGTCTGTTTAGTAAAGATGAATTTCCCGCATGTTGGCCAGGCTGATCTCGAGTCCCTGATCTTAAATGATCCACCTTTCTTGGCCTCTCAAAGCGCCAAGATTACAACCGTGAACCACCACACCCAGCATATAAAGGTATTTATGACCACTAGATTTTACTTTTAAAAATGGTAAAGTTGGTAAATTATATAGTTACATTTAACCTCAATAAATATTTTTGAAAATGAAAAGAAAAGAGTGTAGGGGTTGCTGGTGATGACATCTCTCTGTGTGGGTGAGAGGCCAGGATGGGCTTCTGGGAAATGGGTAAGGTTGAGGGGCTGAGGGAACCTCTGATCTCCCCAAACTGAGCCCAGTCTCCCCTTCTCTGGGTCTGTCCTGACCGCTTTCTCCATCTGCCTGGGTGCCTGGAGCCCTGACCATGGGCCTCCATGCAGGCCATGCAAGAGGGTTTGGAGGTGCCCTGTCTGCCATCCTGCACCCTGACCCCCCCCTCACACCCAGTCTTCGTGTTCTCTCTGCATCTGTCCATGCTTCTCCCCATCATCGGCAGGAAGCTCCTCAGCTATGGCTCTAGGATCATAAGACATGGGACAGACACGGGTTTTCCTCACCTGTGACAGAAACAAGCAGTGGGTCACTTGAGTTTGACCACACGCAGGGCAGGGCACGGAAAGAGCCGAAGCATCTGTAGGTCCCTCCGTGGGTGGCAGGGCCCAGAGGAAAGTCTGCCTGGAATGTTCTGTTGACCTTGGGCACTGCACGGAGCCTACGTTCATGGGCCTCCCCTTCCCTGGACAGATGGTAGATGTCATAGGAGCTCCAGGAGCTACAGGACAAGGTCACGTTCTCTCCTGCCTGAACCGTGGGGCCCGGCTGGGCTGAGAGAGAAGGTTTCTCATATAGACCTGGAAGGAGAAGAGGCAGTTTCCTCAGGGAGGTTCTTCCTTGTCACAGCTCCCCTCATACCTGAGCTGAGAACTCACTCCCCTGCTCTATGACCTAATGCTCTCTCTCTCTCTCACCCTCCACCCCAACTCTCTTCATGTCTATTTCCTCCTTCCGCCTTCTCTGTCTCTCTAGGTCTCTGACCTCACTTCCCCACCCCTGGGTATGCTTTCCCTTTTTGGATTGTTTTATTCTCTCTGACTCTCCTTGGATTGGTTGACTTGATCTTCCTTTTTCTATAATTCTGAGTCTCTCACTTTCTGTCTTGTTCATAACTTTCTGCATATTTCTATCTATTATCTATCTATCTATTTTGTGTCTATCTACAAATTATCTGTCATCTATATCTATGTATCATTTATCTATCAATTGTCTATCTGTCTATCCATCAATCATCTATGTATTATCTGTATCTATGTATCATCTCTCTCTCTCTCTATTACCTCTCTGTCTGCCTGTCAGTCTCTATGTATCATCTATGTATCTATATATTTATATATGTGTCTTCTATCTATCTATCTTCATCATCATCATCATCATCATCTCTATGTATCATCTATCAATCATCATCTATGTATCTATAACCTATCCATTATCTATCATCTACCTATTTATCATCTATCTATATCTATCTATCCATCTATCATCTGTCTCTCTCCATCTCCTTGTCTTTCTCTGCCTCTCAGTCTCTCTAGTTCTATTTGGAATCTCTGCAATCCATCCCCACATCTTTATCTTTCTCTGTCTTTGTGCCCCTCCCTCAGGGTTCTGATTTTGGGGCTTTTCTCTCCTCCCTTCCAGCATTCTCTCCACTCCTCTGCCCTCTTTTCTTTCTTTTTGTGTGTCTGTGAGTCTCTCAATCCCCTTCCTCTGGCTCATTCTCTGTGTGTTTATGCCTTTGCTTTTTGAAGTCCCTGATTTATCTCTGTGTCTCTCAGTGATCCTATTATATGTAGGATTATTTGGAATATGAGCCTCAGAATCTAGTCTGGGGACACCAAGTACACACAGTATTTAGGGGTTGGTGTTCTGGGGCCATGATATCCTGGGATAATTATGGCTCCACTGCATGGAAGGCAGAGGTGTCAGAATAAACATGGCATCTGTAGATGCCACAAGGCCTGAGGCCACAGGGCCCAACTCAGGTCAGAAATATGGGTGTCCTTGGGTTCTCCTCGTAGAAGCACTTTGTGGAGACAAAACAGAAATGAAACTTCTAACCTGTGCCAGGTCTCTGAGCAAAGTCAGCATGGAAGGACACTTCTCTCTGGCACATGTCTGTCTGTCTGAGTGTCTCCTTTACCTCTTTCTCTCTTTTCTACTTCCCCGTATGGCCCCTGTGTCTGTCCTCTGTTATGACACCTGGTCTGTACTTATGTCTCCTGTTTCCCTGTCTCTGTTGGTACAGACCTCACCGAGTCAGTCTCTCTCCATAAGAATCCCACGCTTATCTTCCTCATGACCACCTGGGGGTTCCAAGTCCTGGATCATTCACTCTGTGTCCCAATGACAATGAGAAGAATGTCTGGACACTCTCACCTGTGATCACGATGTCCAGGGGGTCACTGGGAGCTGACAACTGATAGGGGGAGTGAGGAACAGAACCATAACATCTGTAGGTTCCTGCAAGGACAGGCATCAAGGGACCGATGGAGAAGTTGGCCTTGGAGACCCCATCATGGATCTGTCCAACGAGGCGTGAGGGGTCCTCAGAGATCCCATCTCTGTGCAGAAAGAAGTGCTCAAACATGACATCTGACCAACATTGCAGGATGACTGTCTCTCCTGATTTCAGCAGGGGCCCTGGGTGGGCCAGGAGGGAAGGTTTTCTGTGGTTTCCTAGAAAGAGAAGTTGTGAGTTTAGAAGGCATCTCTCTTTATCATCCCATCCATGGCACCTGGAATGAGTGAGGGTTCCCCTCCCAGAGGTCTGTCTCTCTCCTCCCTCTCTGTGTCTCCGTGTCTTTTCTGTGCCCATATCCCCTGGTGCAGGTCCCTCCATTTGTCTTCCTCCCTCTTCTCTGTCCCTCTGTCTCCAGTAGCCCCTGACTCCCTTCCCACTGTGAAGAGAGCCTCATCTCTTGGGCTGTTGTATCTCTTTCCCACTAGTCTCTTTCCTGCTGTCTATGTGAGGGTGGAAGAGGACAGGCTGCATGTCCAGGCTCTCAGCAGCCTGAATCAATCTCTTTTGAACAAATTGGAGTCTCTGGCAGAGGTATCAACTCATCAGTAAGGCAGACATCAGTGTCCACACACCCTGTTCCTGATGGGGATTGGGAGCCTCTCCTGCCATGTCTGTGCCTTCTCCATGGCCCCAGCTTCCATAGGGTGGTCCCTGGTGCTGGTTCCAGGAGCATCAACCCCTTCCTATGTGGATGGAGCCTGGTGGTGGCATCAGCATCCCACCCTTGCTGATCCCACGGTAGCCAACCTTCTCCTTGTTTGGTTTCTTTAATTAATTGATTAATTAATTTATTTTTGAGACAGTCACTTTTTCACCCAGGCTGGAGTGCAGTGGTGTTGTCTTGGCTCACTGCAACCTCTGCCTCCCCGGTTCAAGTGATTCTCTTGCCTCAGCCTCCCCAGTCGTTGGATTACTCGTGCCCACCACCACACCTGGCTATCCTTGTTTGGTTTCCTAGCTTGTCCTTGACCTGGGTTCCTGTGTCGGTTTCCTGTTGCTGCTGCAGAAAATTATCACAAACATGGCAGCAGGAGAGAACACACTGACCCCTTCCACTTCTGGGGACAGAAATTGGATCCAGTTCTCCCTGTGCTGAAATCAAGGCATCTGCAGGGCTGCGTTCCCTCTGGAGACTCAGCGAATCAGTTCTCTTGACTTCTCCAGCCCTTAGAGGCCACCTGCATTCTGTGACTAGTGGCCTTCCTCCACCTTCAAAGCCCACAGTGGCTGATAGCGTCTCCCTCCCACTACACTGCTCTAATCCCCACTCCCCTCTTCCTCCACCTCTCACGCGGACCCTTGTGATTACACTGAGCCCAGCAGGACAGTCCAGGCTGTCTCCCCATCTCAAGGTCAACTCATCAACAACCTGAGCTCCACCTTCCCCTTCAGTCCCCTGCCCTATAACATAAATAGTCACAGGCTCCAGGGTTTACAATGTAGCCATCATTGGCGACAGTTATTCTTCCCACCACAGCGCCCATTTCCCCTGTATTCAATCTCCCTTGACCCCAAATACAGTTGGGGCCTGGGTGATGGGACCCTGATGGACACCCCCACCAGAAGCTCTGGGATTCAGGAGGTGGGACAGTGAGAAGCCCAGACAGAAAGCCTCTGACCTGTGACCATGATCACCAGGGGGTTGCTGGGTGCCGACCACCCAGTGAGGGAGTGTGGGCGTGAACCCCGACATCTGTAGGTCCCTGCATGTGCTGGGGTCACAGGGCCCATGATGAAGCTCTCCTGGAATATTCTGCCGTGGAAGATGGGAACGTGGCTTCTGTCTTCTTTGTACAGCATGAAATTGTTAAACCCACGACGATAGTGACACTGAAGAGCCACGTGTCCTCCTCGAGGCACCACAGTGCTGGGCCGGGCAGACAGGAAGGGTTTGTCCTGACCACCTGGGGGAGAAGGAGGCACTGCCTTAGAGAGGAGGATGTGGAGCCACCCCTCCCTCCCTGTGCTCAGAAGATTCTCCCATTTCCGCTTTCTAAGGCTCCTACCACACCTGGGTGCCCAGGGCTACAGGAAGGACCCACCCCACATAGACATGGCGTCTCCCTACAACAAGTGTCAGCTGAGAACTTTGAGCAAGTGCTGAATAAGTGACTCTTACTAGATTTTAATACTGCAAAATTACTCACATAAAACAACACAAAGTAGACACGGCATGGAGGGCATGTCCTATGTGAATGGAATATCAGCCAATTCATGAACTGAGCCCCCTCAGAGGATTTGGAATGTCAGGGCCATGGCTGTGGTTTCCCCCCTCTTCTGGTAGAAAGACCGCAGCCACACTGCAGCCCCTACCGTCACGGAAACGCTGGAGGGTGTCAGTTATACCTTTGTCCTCAGAGGACCTGCTGTTCCTAGCACTGCTTCCCTCTCTTTCTCTGCTGCTGACACCACTTCCTCCCTGCACACCCCAGCTTGGAGCACCCCAGTCTCACCCCAGTCTTCACAGAGCTTGACTCAGGAAAGGGAAAGAAAGGCCGGGGAGGGCGAGGTCAGAAATGTGGGCCGAGTATCCAAGGGTCCCCTCTTCCTAGTTTATGAGAGACTCCCCGACAGGACTTCCCTCCTGTTTCAGAAAAATCCTCTTATGTGGGGAGATGACACCCTAAGGTTTGGGGAAGGACTCACCCATGAGTGGCCAGGCCCCCTGCAGCAAGAAGAACCCTGGAAAGAAAGATCATGATAGACGATCCAACTGCAGGCAAACCAGGGCACCCTGCTGCCCCCACTGCACTGTGTGTCTTGGCAGCCAGGCCCTTGCTGGGCTGAAGGTAAACTTAGCCTCCCTGCTACCTGCTGCCAAGAACAGGGCTCTCAGCTGTGGAGAGACCCAGGCTCCAGGCCCAGATCAACACTTCCTGGCCCAGATCTCCACTCCAGGCCCATATCTCCACTCCAGGCCCCTATCTCCACTCCAGGCCCCTATCTCCACTCCAGGCCCATATCTCCACATCAGACCCATATCTCCACTCCAGGCCCAGATCTCCCCTCTAGGCCCATATCTCCACTCCAGGCCCATATCTCCACTCCAGGCCCATATCTCCACATCAGACCCATATCTCCACTCCAGGCCCAGATCTCCACCTGCAGGCCCATATCTCCACTCCAGGCCCATATCTCCACTCCAGGCCCGTATCTCCACTCCAGGCCCATATCTCCACACCCAGGCCCATATCTCCCCTCCAGGCCCATATCTGCACTCCAGGCCCATATTTACACCTCCAGGCCCATATCTCCACACCCAGGCCCATATCTCCACTCCAGGCCCATATCTCCACTCCAGGCCCATATCTTTACCTCTAGGCCGAGATCTCCATCCCCACTCTCCCTCCCTCTATTCCCTTCCAGGACTCACCAACGCACGCCATGCTGACGACAGTGAGCGACATGGTGCTGCCGGTGCAGACAGGAGGCCGCGCCCCAGCTCAGCTCAGCAGCGCACAGGATGTTATTTGGCGCCCTGCCCATGCAGTTTACATGTTGACCACATCATGGGAGGGTGACGTACGCAGGCTCTTTCTACCTTGCATGAGGCCCAGTGGGTGCTCGCTCAAGAGCGGAACATGGCTTCCTGGAAATTGTTGTGACTACAATTGCCACCTTGCATCCTTCACTATGACCAGACTCAAAAGACGTCTCAGATCCAACCTCTCACACATGAGGTGATTGAATTCTGTGCTTACATTAAAGACTTTTGATGTATTTTTGTTTTTATCTGAGATTCAAACTTTTCTTCATGTGTAATGTGCAAAATATCTAAGAGGTATTATTAACATTATCAGAGTAATTGTGACAAAAAGCCATTCTAATTTTCCTGATGAGTTTCTAGTACTAAACCTGAGGCACGAGAATTGCTTGAACCTGGGAGGCGGAGGCTGCAGTGAGCTGAGCTCAAGCCACTGAACTCCAGCTTGGGTGACAGAGGAAGAGTCTGTCTCAAGAAAGAAAAAAAAAAGCAAACTAAATAACCTATAATAACAAATCAGAGAACTCAGGTTACCAAATTTTAAGGGGTTCTATAAGTTTATATGAAATGCAGCATCCTCATGAGAGGGGATACAGAGAACCACTGGGCAGAAAACTGTGTCTAAAATACATCTGTGGATACACAGTCCCTTTATAGTTGACAAAGGCTGCCATGTAGTTTAAGGTGGAATAGAATATTTTCTCAATAAATAACACAGGACCATAGGGTTACACGTAGGAAAAAATAAATCTAAACTTATCCTCACACTATAAAAACACTTCTTATTTTTTATCTTGTTGTTGTAAACTTTTTATGCTTTATTTTTAAGATTGACAAATAAAAATTATATACTGTGGTCCTTCACTATTCCTGGGTGATTGGTTCCAGGATCCCCATTCAGATACCAAAATCTGCAGATGCTCAAGCCCCTTGCATGAAATGGCATAGCGAAGCTGGGCACCGTGGCTCACGCCTGTAATCCCAGCACTTTGGGAGGCTGAGTTGGGTAGATCACGAGGTCAGGAGTTCAAGACCAGCTGGTCCAACATTCTGAAACCCCGTCTCTACTAAAAATACACACACAAAAAAATTTATCTGTGCATGGTGGCACGTGCCTGTAATCCTAGGGGAGGCTACTGGGGAGGCTGAGGGAAGACAATCGCTTGAACCTGGGAGGCAGAGGTTGCAGTGAGCTGAGATCATGCCACTGCACTCCAGCCTGGGTGAGAGAGTGAGACTGTCTCAAAAAAAAAAAAAAATAGCATAGCAATTGCATAGAACCCATGCACATCCTCCTGTATACATGAAATCATCTCTTGATTACTTATAATTCCTGACACAGCCTACACGCCACTCAATTTGTGTCGATTCAACATAGTTTTTTGCTTCTTGAAACTTCGGGGATTTTTTTCTGAAAATATTTTTGATTTATTGTTGGTTCAATAAACACCTGTAAACCCCACAGATATGGAGGACCGACTGTATATTTATATTATGAAAGATGATATGTTGATATGTGTCCCCGTGGAGATGAGACTAACAAGGCCTATGTCTCTACAAATGTTTCATCGTGGAATGACTCTGCCAGCTTTCCAGGTCTGCAGAGAGTAAGAATATCACTTGTTCATGTGATTCACGATCCTTGGAGCCTCCTATGTGCTGTATCTTTGGATGGAAATTGGAGTCTCAGAGACAAATCAGGCTACATTCTGCTTCCAGAAGCTCAGAGTCCAGGGCTGAGAACCCAATGGAGAACAGATGGGGTTATGTGGACATGGTAATGATAACACCGGAAGCCTTAGGCAAGAAAAGAGTCTCGTTACCGAAACCATGAGGGCAGACATGTTTATTTGAAGGCGGGAAAACTACATTGAAATTATTTAAAAAATTTATAAGTTTTACTGCTGGCAGAAGGCTGAAAGATAGTCTGAAGGGAGGTGGAACAGCACGTGTCTAAGTGCTGTGTTAAGAGGCAGCCTCTTGTATGTTTGGAATTGTGAGTTCCTCAGTGTGATTGCAGCCTCAGGTAGACTAGGAAGTAAGCCAGTTAGGTTGGAGAGGTGGGCAGGGGTCAAGTGAAATGGAGAATTGTGGGCTAAGCAAAGGAGTGTGTTTTCTCTCCAGCAGGCAGTGGGGACCTTAGACATTTGTAAGCAAGAGAGAGGCATGTTCAGATTCGTGGTGTGAGGAAGAGCGATGCCCTAAGATGAAGACTGATGCCTTCAGATTCCAGCTGCTGGTACATGGGAGCTGGCAACCCGGTTTTGAGACAGGGCTGTTGTCTCCCTAGAAGATCCCCTCAAGGCCTGACTGTGGTGCTCGTGGACAGAAGACAACTTTGGATCTGGGCTCAGCATTTGGAAGTTCTATGTACATGCTGGTATCTGTTGGGGGTGTCTTGGGCCTCTCAGAAGGGCGAGTGATTTTTCTCTGTGTGAAAACACAGTGATCCAATTATGCGTATGACACCTCCTGATGGTCTTGTTCATCAGAATCCTGGAGAGAGGGAAATGCTGAGTGAGGGAGGGTGCTCACATTTTTCAGGACTCTTTGGGAATAAGACTAGCCACGAGGCTGGGCCGAGGAGCACCTACCTCGCTGTTCACTGTTCTGTTCCCTGCAGGCTCTTGGTCCATTACAGCAGCATCTGTAGAAGACGGAAGTCAACAAAAGAGCTCGGAGGGCACTTCTGGGTCCTCATTTCATAAGCAGATACCAACAAACAGGGGGAGGCCATAGGTGCCTGAGGTCCCTCAGTTGCCAACAGCAGACTCAGACATTCTATCTCTCTGAGTTCAAGGACCCATCCCATGAATAGCTCTGAGTTCCCATCCCATTGATTCTATCTCCCACTTTCTGCCTGTCATGGAACCTTCTCCTGGATGTGAGTGGCTGCAGGGGACGTGAGGATACAGTTCAGAATCAGGCAATGGTCTGTGAGCTGAAGGCAGGGGAAGGGAATCTGGTGCTCTCTCTAGAAAGTCCTGCCTCTGTGGCTCCTGTCTTGGGCCAGGGACCATCCTGCTGGTGAGGAACACACATCCGCGTGCTCCCATCCTGCTTCCCCACATGGCCCTGAGCTCTCTGGCCTCTGCTTCGTGAGACTTACTTTTTTTGTCGGAGCACCAGCGATGAAGGAGAAAGAAGAGGAGGATGGTGAAAGGGATTTTGACCACTGAGGTCCCAATCAGAACATGTAGGTGTCTGGGGTTACCTGGAAGAAGAGGAGACACCAATAAGAAGCTAATCATAGCAGTTCCTCTTTATGAATTGTCTCGCATTTCTTGATTGGCAGGTAACCACATACAACGTCTCTTTAGGACAAGCACCCAAATGGCGGGAGACCTAGCTTTCCCCTGCTTTCTCAATTATAGCTCTCATAGTAACCATAGAACGTGCTGAGGATACAACTACTTTAGTTGAGATGTTTGACCCTTTCAAACCTCACATTGAAATTTCACCCCCATTGTGGGAGGTTGGGCCTCTTCAGAGGTGTTTGGGTCATGGAGGTGGATCCATCATGAACAGATCAATGCTGTCCCAAGGAGACGGGGTTAGCAAGTTCCCCCTCTGTTAGTTCCTGGAGAGCTGGTTGTTAAAAAGAGCTTGGAAGCTCCATCGCTCCCTCTCCCCCTTACTCTCTCTCTTGCCGTGTGATCTCTGCGGTCTCTGCACAGACAGACCCTCCTTCCCTTCTGCCAGAGTGGGAGCAGCCTGAGGCCGTCAAGAGAAATAGATTCTGGTGCCATGCTTCCAGTACAGCCTGCAGAACTGTGAGGCAAACCAATCTCTTTTCTTTAGAAGTTACCCAGGCTCAAGTGTTCCTTTAGAGCAACAAAAATGGACTAAGATAGCAACATCCTGAGATCAGGAGGAATGTCTCAGAACAGCCTGGGCTGTCTTCCTGTTCTTCCTGGAGGAGGACGTCATGCAGTGCTTTAGCTGAGTGCTTCCTGTGGCTCCAGGGTACAAAACCCAGGCTGGGCTGCTTTCTGGCTTCCCCCAGTTACACTGCAAATGGGGTGACTCCATATGTCCCGAGCAGCTTTTCTGAGCCTTGAGGGACTGGCTCACATTGAAATGCAGGCTTCTGTTGTCACTCGCTGCTTATCTGTTAGTAATGAACCTGCCTATGTAACGTATCCTCTGTGTGTTCTGTCTCCCTGGAGTGACGGTGAGTGATAGGAATTGGCATAGGCCCAGGTGCAGTCCAGGATTTGTTTAGAGTCTTCTCTGGGAAGACTGCACTGGGATTGATACACAGCGAATGTGCTTTAGGATTTCTACATCCACAGCATTCTTGAGTCAAACAAATTGCATTCACCAAGGAAAGGAAACAAAGGTGAAATCACGATTAAAAATAGCGAAGCAAGATTCTCTTATGTCAAACAGCCAGAAAATAGTGTTGAAGCCCGTGTGAAATGTGCTGCTCTTTGTGATCTCGGGAGACACATGTTAGGCTGCTGTTCTACCCGAGAGGCTGGGGGAAGGACCACCCCCTCCACCATCTATTGCTTCAATACCACCTGTCCTCCTGTGAATTAGTAGGAAAGGGGAACAGGAGCTAGTGCTGTCGCTGATCTCTGATTCCAAGATCTGGACTCACTCCAAGGAATATTAATGTTTCCTCCCCATGGTCTATCTGAATCTCCACAGGTGATTGGAAGTAGGGGTGAGGTGGGCGATTTGGGTGAGTGGGCAAGTTTTTTTTTGCGATGACCAGAGCACTTTCTCTATTCCAGGATCCGTGCTGGAGGATTCAGCGGGCTTTCACATTTTCTATGTGATCTCATGCTCACAGAAAGCCAAATAGGGAAGAGGTTTTAGGCTGATTGCCTAATGGATAAGATAAAGGATCAAAGAAGTAATTATAGAGAAATAGAAAAATGATGATTGGAATTCAGGTGCCTTTGTCATTCGTGTGTGTTTTATTATATTTATGCATTTCTTATTTTTATTTTTTGAGACGGAGTCTCCTTGTGTCACCCAGGCTGGAGTGCAGTGATGCAATCTCCACTCACTGCAACCTCCACCTCCTGGGTTGAAGTCATTCTCCTGCTTCATCCTCCAGAGTAGGAGCTGGGATTACAGGGATGCACCACCATGCTCGGCTAATTTTTGTATTTTTAGTACAGATAGGGTTTCACCATGTTGGCCAGGCTGGTCTGGAACTCCTGACTTCATGGAATCCACCCGCCTTGGCCTCCTGCAGGGCTGGGTTACAAGCATGAGCCACCGTTCACAGACTTGTATATTATGCTATAATAGGTCCCTTCATTTCCACCACCCCTCATATATCTGTCACTCCTTTGCCAGGTATTGATTTATGTGTAGGATGAATAAATCTCAGAAAGAAATTAATTAAGCGAGGATTAAACAAGTAGGAAAATCAAACCCAGCAAGCCTTTCCAGCCAATGATTCTACCTCACAAGCATATCTTATATCCATCTACTTCATTCATTTAGTGTCTAAATCAGCACCACATTTCACCAGTGGGGCGGCAATTGCCTTTTCCACAGTCTCCTAGATTCCAGTTACGCACCTGGGCCTCCCTTATTTTCTTGTCAGTCACTATTAATCATGTAGGGATTCCTGGTTACCCCGAGGTGAATCCAATGGCTGTGAGTGTCAAACACACACTCCTTGTTCCTCCTTAGTTTCCTGTGTACCCAGAGTGCTCTCCATCTCTCTACAGTCATCTTGTCATTCTCCCCACCTCATTCCCAGCATTTCAGGCAGAGCCTCTTCCTTCAACATCAGATTGTTTTCACCTTTGTGCCTTCACAGCTGACAGCTGTGTGTGGAAAATCCTTCCGCCAATCTTTCAGGGGTTCAATCCGTGTTTTTCATTAATGTCACAAATATCTGATTAGTGAGACCTTCTCTGTCACCCAAAATTATACACTCAGCATTATCTATTATTTATTTTGAATTCTGGCTGGGCAAAGTGGCTCACGCCTGTAATCCCAGTACTTTGGGTTGCTGAGATGGTCGGATCACTTGAGGTTGGGAGTTTCAGACAAGCTTGGCCAACATGGTGAAACATCCTCTCTACAAAAAATATACAAAAAGAATTAGCCGGGCATGGTGGCAGTTGCCTGTAATCCCAGCTACTCGAGAGGGTGAGGCAGGAGAATCACTTGGATCCAGGAGACGCAGGTTGCAGTGAGCCAAGATCGTGACACTGCACTGTAGCCTGGAAGACAGAGGGAGACTCTGTCTCAATAAACAAACGAACAAACAAACAAATAGATTTCATGCACAGATGCTTCCCAATGGATCATTCATTTATTGGTCCACTTGTGCATTCATTTTCTGTCCTCCCATTTAACCATCTGCAATATCAGTGTCCCAAGAGCAGAGGCCAAATGCATCTTGTTCACCATTTGTGGAAGGCAGGAGAATGCTGTCCCACCCCAAAATGTCCCTGTCCTAGCCTCCATAGCTTGTGAATATGTTATTTTACATGGAAAGGAGGAATGAAGATTGCAGATGGAATTATGGTTGCTAATCAGCTGAACTTAAAACAAGGGTATCCTGAATGATTTCCGGGAGATTATGACGGATTTTCATCTTGGTGAACCCAATAGAATCCCCAAGTTTTCAAAAGATGAGGAAGAAGGGAGAGCAGCATTCAGAGAAAGAGGTGTGGTAAGGAAGAAGGGTCTGAGTGATGCCATGTGAGATGTGACCAGTCTTTGTGGGTTTTGAGGAAGGAGGAAAGGGACCAGCAGCCAAGGAACTGGGAGCCTTTATAAGATGGGACAAGTGAGAAGCAGATTCTTGCCTGGAATCCTCAGAGGGAAGGCAGGCTTGCTGTCATCTTGATTTTAGCCCAGTGAGATGCACTTCATGCTTTGAGCTAGAGCACTGTAAGATAATTAAATAACCGTTTTGTTTTCACCCACGAATCTTGTGGAAATTTGTTATGGCAACAATAGGAAAAGCTTCCACACTGCACAACCTGAGCATGGGGCCGTGGCTGAATAAGTCAGTGAGTCAAAGTGTGCGTGCATGAGCTCTGTTCTCTGTTACGGCAAGGCTCTTGCTCTGCTGAGTCAGCCAGGGTTGTTTCATGACCAACAGGAGCTCATTCCTTGGCAAGTGGAACTTCTCTAAAACACCTCGCCCTCATCAGATGTTCGCTTCCCTTCCCTCTCTCAAGCCCCCAGGAATTTATCCTCCAGTTAGGAATGCAAGCAGAACAAACATTGCGTTTTTCCTGAGAAGGATGTCAGATTGGCAATCATTCTTCTAGCTTGTAGGAGGTCTCAGCTCCATAAAATGAGAGATGAAGAGATTTCACTGAGCCCTGTGTTGGGCCCAGATCCCTTTCGCTGTTGGAGTATCTGGAGTTCGGAGATGGTAGAAGACAGGCGTACAATGTCAGAGCTGTGAGATGCTGAGTCAACGCCTGAATCCAAGGTTTCCACCTCCCCAGGGTTCCAAAAGCGGATATAAGAGGGTCCTGTACTCACCGGTTTTGGAGCTTGGTTCAGTGGGTGAAGGCCAACTATTTGAAGGGTTTCCTAGAACATGAGACAGGAGAGAGGTGAGGAAATGAGGGTGTCTGTCCTCTACTCAGTGGAAATCTTTGAGTTTGGTTCATGGCCAACACTCTGTTATCTAACATTGGGCCCTGGGAGTCCAGGGATCCTTTCTTCCATAATTTTTGTATGTGACGCCCACTGTCTTGAGACTTCAAGGTATAAAGAGAAAACAGGAGCATCACACTACCTGATCTCAAAATATGTTACAGAGCTGTAGTAAGCAAAACAGCATGATGTTGGCATGAAGAAAGGCACATAGAACAACGGAGCAGAATGAAGAACACAGATATAATCCATGCATTTACATCCAATTTTTTTTATTTTTTCTTTTGAGATGGAGTCTTGCTCTGTCACCCAGGCTGGAGTGCAGAGGTGCAATCTCGGTTCACTGCAACCTCAGCCTCCTGGGTTCAATCAATTCTCTTGCCTCAAACTCCTGAGTAGTAGTATTACAGGTGCTGACCACCATGCTCAGCTAATTTTTATATTTTTAGTGGAGACGATGTTTCATCACGTCGGCCAGAGTAATCTTGTACTCCTGTCCTCAGGTGATCCACCAGCCTTGGCCTCCCAAAGTGCTGAAGTTGCTGGTGTTAGCCACCATGCCCAGCCCATCCAATGGACTTTGACAAAGGTGCCAAGAACTCACAATCAGGAAAGGACAGTTTTTTCAATAAACAGTGCAGGGAAACCTGGACATCTACATGCAGAGGAATGAAACTGCACCTCTACCTGTCACCATACACAAAAATCAAATGAAAGTGGATTAAAGATGTGAGTCTAAGGCCTGAACCTGTGAAACACGTAGAAGAAAATATTGGGGAAATGCTCCAGTACATTTGTCTGAAGGAAGACATTTTGTTTTAAACCTTCAAAACACAAGTAATCGAAGCAAAAATAGACCATTGGGATTACCTCAAACTAAGCAACTTCTGCACCGCTAAAAATAAACCAACAAAGTGAAGAGACAACCCACAGATTGGGAGCAAATATGTGCAAACTATGCATCTGAGACGGGATTAATAACTAGAAGTATAAGAAGCTCAAACAACTCAATAAAACAAATGATTTAATTGAAAAAGGAGCAAAAGACATGAAATTTCCCCACATACGAAAAAGTGCTCAGTATCACTCATCATCAGAGAAACGCGAATTAAAATCAAAGTGAGTTTTCATCTCACCCCATTAAAATGGCTTTTAGGCCGGGCGAGGTGGCTCACGTCTGTCATCCTAGAACTCTGAGAGCCCGAGGTGGGCGAATCTCATAAGGTCGGGAGTTTGAGACCAGTCTGACCCACATGGAGAAACGCTGTCTCTACTAAAAATACAAAAATTAGTCGGGCGTGGTGGTGTGTGCCTGTAATTCCAGCTACTCGGGAGGCTGAGGCAGGAGAATCGCTTGAACCTGGGAGGTGGAGGTTGCGGTGAGCCGAGATCGCACCACTGCACTCCAGCCTGGGTGACAAGAGCGAAACTCCATCTCAAAATAAAATGAAATAAAATAAAATGGCTTTTAGCTGCAAGACAGGCAAAACAAATGCTGGCAAGGTGGTAGAGAAAGGAGAACCCTGGTACCCTGTTGGTAGGAGTGTAAATTAGTACAGCCATTACGGAGAAAAGTATGGAAGTCCTTTAAAGAACTAAAAAGAGGTTGGATGAAGTGGATCATGCCTGTAATCCCGGCACTTTGGGAGACCGAGGCGGGCACCTCAGTTGAGGTCATGAGTTTGAGAGCAGCCTAGCCAACCTGGGGAAACCCCATGTACACTAAAAAAAACCAAAAAGTATCCCGGCATGGTGGCGTGCACCTGTAATCCCAGCTACTAGGGAGGCTGAGGCAGGAAAATCATTTGAACCCAGGAGGCGGAGGTTGCAATGAGCCAAGATCACATCACTTGTACTCCAGCCTGGGCACAGAGGGAAACTGTCTCAAAAACAAAAACAAAACAACAAACGAAAAACTAAAAAGAGAACTTTCATAGTATCCAGCAATTTCACTACTGGGTTTATATCCAAAGGAAAGTAAATCAATGTATCGAAGTGATATCTGCACTCGTATGATTGGTGCAGCACTCTTCACAGTAGCCAAGATGTGGAGTCAACCTACCTGCCCATCAGTGGATGAATGGATAGAGAGAATGTAGTACATACGCACAGCGGAGACTACTCATCCATAGAAAGAATAACATCCTGATATTTGCAGCCACATGGATGGAACTGGAAGTCATTACAAATATTCTCATTTCTCACCCATATACAGGAGCTAAAAGGTGGATCTCATGAAGATAGAGAGTAGAATGGTGGCTACCAGAGGCCAGGAAGAAAAGGGTGGAGGATAAAACAAACAAACAAAAAATTTATATGTATGTATTTATGACCACTAGACCTTACACTTAAAATTGGTAAACGTGGCCGGGCGCGGTGGCTCATGCCTGTAATCCCAGCACTTTGGGAGCCTGAGGCGGGTGGATCACGTGGTCAGGAGTTCCAGAGCAGCTCGACCAACATGGTGAAACCCCCTCTCTACTAAATATACAAAAAGTAGCCCGGCGTGGTGATGGGCGCCTGTAGTACCAGCTACTCAGGTGGCTGAGGCAGGAGAATCGCTTGAACCCAGGAGGCGGAGGTTACAGTGAGCTGAGATTGTGCCACTGCATTCCAGCATAGGAGACAGAGCTAGACTCCACCTCAAAAAAAAAAAAATGTTAAAAGTGGTAAGCTATATAGGTATATTTAACCTCAATGAATATTTTTTCAAACAAAAAGAAAAGGATGTAGGGGTTGCTGGTGATGACATCTCTGTGTGGGTGAGAGGCCAGGAAGGGCTTCTGGGAAATGGGTAAGGTTGAGGGGCTGAGGGAACCTCTGATCTCCCCAAACTGAGCCCAGTCTCCCCTTCTCTGGGTCTCTCCTGACCGCTTTCTACATCTGCCTGGGTTTCTGGAGCCCTAATCGGAGGCCTCCATGCAGGCCATGCAGGAGGGTTTGGAGGTGCTGTGTGTGCCATCCTGCGCCCTGATCCCTCCCTCACAGGCATGCTGCGTCTTCTCTCTGCATCTGTC
This sequence comes from Homo sapiens, assembly GCF_000001405.40. Classification (NCBI taxonomy): domain Eukaryota; kingdom Metazoa; phylum Chordata; class Mammalia; order Primates; family Hominidae; genus Homo; species Homo sapiens. Next base: position 29,258 of record NT_187669.1, read on the forward strand.
CATGCTTCTCTCCATCATCAGCAGGAAGCTCCTCAGCTAAGGCTCTAGGATCATAGGACATGGGACAGATATGAGGTTTCCTCACCTGTGACGGAAACAAGCAGTGGATCACTCGAGTTTGACCACTCGTAGGGAGCGTCACGGAAAGAGCCGAAGCATCTGTAGGTCCCTCCGTGGGTGGCAGGGCCCAGAGGAAAGTCGGCCTGGAATGTTCCGTTGATGCTGCGCACTGCAGGGAGCCTACGTTCATGGGCCTCCCCTTCCCTGGATAGATGGTACATGTCATAGGAGCTCCGGGAGCTGCAGGACAAGGTCACATTCTCTCCTGCCTGAACCGTGGGGCCCGGCTGGGCTGAGAGAGAAGGTTTCTCATATAGACCTGGAAGGAGAAGGGGCAGTTTCCTCAGGGGGGATCTTCCTTGTCACAGCTCCCCTCACACCTGACCTGAGAACTCACTCCCCTGCTCTATGGCCTAATGCTCTCTTTCTCTGTCTCACCCTCCACCCTATCTCTCTTCATGTCTATTTCCTCCTTCCACCTTCTCTGTCTCTGTAGGTCTCTGACCTCACTTCCCTACCTCTAGTTATGTTTTCCTTTTTTGGATTGTTTTATTCTCTCTGGCTCTCCTTGGATTGGTTGACTTGATGTTACTTTTTTTAACTCTGAGTTTCTCAGTTTGTGTCCCGTTCATAACTTTCTGCATATTTCTATCTATTATCTATCAATCCATCTATTTATCTATTCGGTGCCTATCTACAAATTCTCTACCTGTCATCTATATCTATATATCATCTATTTATCTATCAATTGTCTATCCGTCAATCATCTATTATCTATATATATGTATCATCTCTCTCTCTCTATTATTTCTCTCTTTGTCTTCCTCTCTATCTCTATGTATTATCTATCCATCTATCTTCATCATCATCATCTCTATGTATCATCTATTAATGAATCAATCAATCATCATCTATGTATCTATAACCTATTATCTATCATCTACCTATATATCATCTATCTATATCTATCCATCATCTATCTGTATCTATCCATCTATCATCTGTCTTGCTCTGCCTCTCGGTCTCTCTAGTTCTCTTTGGAATCTCTGCAATTCATCCCCACATCTCCATCTTTCTATGCCCTTGTGCCTCGCCCTCAGGACTCTAATTTTAGTGGTTTTCTCTGCTCTCTTCCATCATTCTCTCCACTTCTCTGCCCTCTTCTCTCTCTTTATGTGTCTGTGAGTCTCTCAATCTCCTTCCTCTGGCTCTTTCTCTGTGTGTTTATGTCTTTGCTTTTTGGTGTCCCTGATTTCTCTCTGTGCTTCTCAGTGATCCTCTCATATGTGATATGTGGGGTTATTTGGAATGTGAGCCTCAGAATCCAGTCTGGAGACCACAAGTTCACACAGCATACAGGGGTTGGTGTTCTGGGGCCATGATATTTTGGGACGATTATTCTCCATTGCATGGAAGTCAGAGGTGTCAGAATAAGCATGGCATCTGTAGGTGCCACAAGGCCTGAGGCCACAGGGCCCAACTCAGGTCAGAAATATGGGTGTCCTTGGGTTCTCCTGGTAGAGAACACTTTGTGGAGGTAAAACAGAAATGAAACTTCTAACCTGTGCCAGGTCTCTGAGCAAAGTCAGCATGGAAGGACACCTCTGTCTGGGACATGTCTGTCTGTCTCCTTTAACTCTTTCTGTCTTTTCTAACTCCCGGTATGGCCCCTGTGTTTGTCCTCTGTTATGACACCTGGTCTGTACTTGTGTCTCTTGTTTCTCTGTCTCTGTTGGCACAGACCTCACCAAGTCAGTCTCTCTCCATAAGAATACCAAGCTCATCTTCCTTACAACCACCTGGGTCTCCAAGTCCTGGATCATTCACTCTGCATCCCAATGACAATGAGAAGAATGTCTGGACACTCTCACCTATGATCACCATGTCCAGAGGGTCACTGGGAGCTGACAACTGATAGGGGGAGTGAGGAACAGAACCGTAGCATCTGTAGGTTCCTGCAAGGACAGGCATCATGGGACCAATGGAGAAGTTGGCCTTGGAAACCCCATCATGGTGCTCTCCAATGAGGTGCAAAGTGTTGTTAAACTTCCCCTCTCTGTGCAGAAGGAAGTGCTCAAACATGACATCCGACCAACATTGCAGGATGACTGTCTCTTCTGATTTCACCAGGTGACCTGGGAGGGCCAGGAAGGAAGGTTTTCTGTGGACTCCTAGGAAGAGAGGTTGTGAGTTTAGAAGGTGTCTCTCTTTATCATCCCATCCATGGCACCTGGAATGAGTGAGACTTCCCTTCGCTGGTGTCTGTCTCTCTGCTTCCTCTCTGTGTCTTCATGTTCTTTTCTGTGCCCATAACTCCTGGTGCAGGTCCTTCCATCTGTCTCCCTCCCTCTTCTCTGTCCCTCTGTCTCTAGTAGCTGTGATTCCCTTCCCACTGGGCTCAGCCTCATCTCTTGGGCTGTTGTATCTATTTCACACTAATGTCTTTCTTACTGTCTATGTGGGAGTGGAAGAGGAAGCAGGATAGGCTGCACGTCCCGGCTCTTAGCAGCCTGGTTCAATCTCTTTTGGACGAATTGGAATCCTTGGCAGGAGGTATGAACTGATCAGTAAGGCAGGCACCAGTGTCCACACACCCTGTTCCTGGTGGGGACTGGGAGCCACTCTTGCCATGTCTGTGCCTTCTCCATGGTGCCAGTTTCCATAGGCTGGCTCCTCGTGCTGATTTGAGGAGTATCAACCCCTCCCTATGTGGATGGAGCCTGGTGGTGGCATCATCATCCCACCCTTGCTGATCTCGGTGTAGCCAACCTTCTCTTTGTTTGGTTTCTTTAATTAATTAATTAATTTTGGAGACAGAGTCTCACTCCTTCACCCAGGCTGGAGTGAAGTGGTGTGGTCTACGCTCACTGCAACCTCTGTCTCCTGGGTTCAAGCGATTCTCCTGCTCTCAGCCTCCCGAGTCGCTAGGATTACATGCACCTGCCACCATGCCTGGCTATCCTTGTGTCTTTTCTTAACTTGTCCTTGACCTGGGTTCCAGTGTTGGTTTCCTGTTGCTGCTGTAGAAAATTATCAGAAGCATGGCAGCAGGAGAGAGCACACTGACCCCCTCCGATTCTGGAGACAGAAAGCGGACCCTGTTTTTCGAGGGCTAAAATCAAGGCATCTGCAGGGCTGTGTTCCCTCTGGAGACTCAGGAGAATCAGTTACTTGACTTTCCCAGCCTCTATAGGCCACCTGCATTCATGGCTTATGGCCTTCATCCACCTTCAAAGCTAATGGAGTCTCCCACTACGCTGCTCTAATCCCCACTCTCCTCTTCCTCCTCCTTTCATGTGGACACTTGTGATTATATTGAGCCCACCGGGACAGTCCAGGCTGTCTCCCCATCTCAAGGTCAACTCATCAACAACCTGAGCTCCATCTTCCCCTTCAGTCCCTTCCCCTATAACATAAATAGTCACAGACTCCAGGGATTAGAATGCAGTCATCACTGGGGACACTTATTCTTCCCACCACAGCACCCATTTCCCTGTATTCAATCCCCCTTTACCCCAAATACAGTTAGGGCCTGCGTGATGGGACCCTCAAGGACATGCCTACCAGAAGCTCTGGGATTCAGGAGGTGGGACAAGGAGAATCCCAGACAGGAGCCCTCTGACCTGTGACCATGATCACCAGGGGGTTGCTGGGTGCCGACCACCCACTGGGGGAGTGTGTGTGTGAACCCCGGCATCTATAGGTCCCTGCATGTGACGGGGTCACAGGGCCCATGAAAAGGCTTTTCCAGAATATTCTGTTGTACAGCTCAGGGACAGGCACCCCATCATCCTTGTACAGACTGAAGTTGTTAAACCCAAGATTAGAGTGACACTGAAGAGTCACATGTTCTGGAGGCACCACAAGGCTGGGCCAGGTAGAAAGCAAGGGCTTGTCCTGACCACCTTGGGGTGAAGGAGGCGCCGCCTTAGAGAGGAGGATGTGGAGCTGTGCCTCCCTCCCTGTGCTCAGAAGATTCTCCCCACTTTCCACATTTCTATGGCTGCTATCACACCTTGGTGCCTAGGGCTAAAGGAAGGACCCATCCCACAAAGACAAGGTGTCTCCGTACAACAAAAGTGTCAGCTGAGAACTTTGAGCAAGTGCTGAGTAAGAGACTCCTACTAGATTTTAATACTGTAAGATTACTGACATAAAACAACACAGGGTAGACATGAAGTGGAGGGCATGTCCTTTGAGAATGGAATATCAGCAGTTGCCTGAATGAAAATAAAAAACTTAGCCCCCATCAGAGGATTTGGAATGTCAGGGCCATGGCTGTGGTTTCCCACCTCTTCTGGTAGAATGACAGCAGCCACACTGCAGCCCCTACCGTCATGGAAACGCTGAAGTGTGTGAGTAACACCTTTGTCCTCAGAGGATCTGCTGTTCCTACCACTTCCCCACCACACAACCCAGCTTTGAACACCCTAGTCCAACCCTGGTCCCCACACAACTTGACTCTGCCAAGGGGTTGAGAGGCCAGGGAGGCAAGGTCGGAACTGTGGGCCGAGCACCCCAGGGTCCCCTCTTCCTAGTTTATGAGAGACTCCCTGACAGGACTTCCCTCCCGTTTCAGGAAAATCCTCTTATGTGGGGAGATGACACCCTAAGGTTTGGAGAAGGACTTACCCTCCTGTGGCCAGGCCCCCTGCAGCAAGAAGAACCCTGGAAAGAAAGATCATGATGGAAGATCCATTTGCAGGCAAACAAGGCCTTCCTTGCTGCCCCCACTGGGCTGTGAGTCTTGATAGCCAGCCCCTTCCTGGGCCGAAGGTAAACTCACCATCAGTGCCTACCTGCACCCAAGAACAGTGCTCTCGGCTGTACAGAGACCCAGCCTCCAGGCCCATATCCCCACCCCAAGCCCATATCTCCACTCCAGGCCCATATCTCCACTCCAGGCCGATATTTCCACCCTAGACCCATATAGCCAATCCGGGCCCACATCTCCAATCCAGGCTCAGATCTCCACCCTCGGCCCATATCTCCAATCCAGGCCCATATCTCCACTCCAGGCCCATATCTCCACTCCAGTCCCATATCTCCTCTCCAGTCCCATATCTCCACTCCAGGCCCATATCTCCACCCCAGGCCCAGATCTCCACCTCCAGGCCCATAACTACACTCCAGGATCATATCTCCACTCCAAGCCCATATCTCCACATCAGGCCCATATCTCCACTCCAGTCCCATATCTCCACACCCAGGCCCATATCTCCATTCCAGGCCCATATCCCCATCCTAGGCCCATATCTCCACCGTAGGCCCAGATCTCCACTCCAGGCCCATATCTCCACTCCAGGGCCATATCTCCACTCCAGGCCCATATCTACACACCAGGCCCATATCTCCACCCCATGCCCATGTCTCCACTCCAGACCCATATCTCCACCCCACGCCCATATCTCCACTCCAGGCCCATATCTCCAACCCACGCCCATATCTCCACCTCCAGGCACATATCTCCACCCCACGCCCGTATCTCCACTCCAGTCCCATATCTCCACTCCCGGCCCATGTCTCCACCCCATGCCTATATCTCCACTCCAGTCCCATATCTCCACTCCAGGCCCATATCTCCACTCCAGACCCATATCTCCACTCGGCCCATGTCTACACTCCAGGCCCATATCACCACCTCCAGGCCCATATCTCCACTCCAGGCCCATATCTCCACCTCCAGGCCCGTATCTCCACTCCAGACCCATATGTCCACTCCAGGCCCATATCTCCACTCCAGGCCCATATCTCCACTCCAGGGCCATATCTCCACTCCAGGCTCATATCTCCACTCCAGGCCCATATCTCCACTCCAGGGCCATATCTCCACTCCAGGCTCATATCTCCACTCCAGGCCCATATCTCCACTCCAGGGCCATATCTCCACTCCAGGCCCAGATCTCCACCTCCAGGCCCGTATCTCCACTCTAGTCCCATATCTCCACTCCAGGCCCATATCTCCACCTCCAGGCCCATAACTTCACTCCAGGCCCATAACTCCACTCCAGGCCCATATCTCCACCTCCAGGCCCATATCTCCACTCCAGGGCCATATCTCCACTCCAGGCTCATATCTCCACTCCAGGCCCATATCTCCACTCCAGGGCCATATCTCCACTCCAGGCCCAGATCTCCACCTCCAGGCCCCTATCTCCACTCTAGTCCCATATCTCCACTCCAGGCCCATATCTCCACCTCCAGGCCCATAACTTCACTCCAGGCCCATAACTCCACTCCAGGCCCATATCTCCACCTCCAGGCCCATATCTCCACTGCAGACCCATATCTCCACTCCAGGCCCATATCTCCACTCCAGGCCCAGATCTCCACTCCAGGCCCAGATCTCCACTCCAGGCCCAGATCTCCACCTCCAGGCCCCTATCTCCACTCTAGTCCCATATCTCCACTCCAGTCCCATATCTCCACCTCCAGGCCCATAACTTCACTCCAGGCCCATAACTCCACTGCAGACCCATATCTCCACTCCAGGCCCATATCTCCACTCCAGGACCATATCTCCACTCCAGGCTCATATCTCCACTCCAGGCCCGTATCTCCACCTCCAGGCCCATAACTTCACTCCAGGCCCATAACTCCACTCCAGGCCCATATCTCCACTCCAGTCCCATATCTCCACTCCAGTCCCATATCTCCACCCTAGGCTCCTACCTCCCCTCCAGGTTCCTATCTCTCCTCCAGGTTCCTCTCTCCACTCCAGGTTCCTATCCCCACTCCAGGCCCATATCTCCACTCCAGGCCCAGATCTTCACTCCAGGCCCAGATCTCCACTCCAGGCGCAGATCTCCACTTCTAGGCTCATCACTCCATCTCTAGGCCCAGATCTCCACTCCAGGCCCATAACTCCACCTCCAGGCCCATATCTCCACCTCTGGGCCCAGATCTCCATCCCCACGCTCCCTCCCTCTATTCCCTTCCAGGACTCACCAACACACGCCATGATGATGACCATGAGCGACATGGTGCTGCCGGTGCAGACAGGCGGCCGCGCCCCAGCTCAGCTCAGCAGCACACAGGATGTTATTTGGCGCCCTGCCCATGCAGTTTACATGTTGACCACATCATGGGAGGGTGACGTACGCAGGCTTTTTCTACCTTGCATGAGGCCCAGTGGGTGCTCGCTCAAGAGCGGAACATGGCTTCCTGGAAATTGCTCTCACTAGAATTGACACCTCGCGTCCTTCACTATGACCAACTCAAAACATGTCTTAGATCCAACCTCCCAAACATGAGATGCCTAAAATCTGTGCTAACATGAAAGACTTTTCATGAATTTTTATTGTTTTTATCTGAGATTCGAACTCTTCTTCCTGTGTAATATGCAAAATATCTAATAGGTATTATTAGTGTTTTCAGAGTCATTGTGACTAATAAACCATTAGAATTGTTCATGCTTGTATTTCTAGTATTACAGCAGAACCAGTTCAAATGATTTAAATTCCCAGGGAAGGATTATGCAATTATTTACAATCTTAGAATTGTACTTTATCAGCAAAAACCACACATGTAAATTCTGGATTTTTGTAGTTTTATCTATAATTTGTCTCATGACTCAAGATTCCAGAGTCCCAACTTTGGAGTTTGCTCTCTCTCTGTCTCTCTGCCTCCCTCATTTTAAATTTTACAGAAATATCCAGTAACATAATGCTATAGAAAATCAAGTTTCCCCCAGCAGGTCGGGAAGCCGAGGTGGGCGGATCAACTGAGATGAGGAGATTGAGAGCAGCCTGGCCAACATAGTGAAACCGTGTCTCTGCTAAAAATCCAAAAATTAGCCGTGCCTGGTGGCAGGCACCTGTAACGCCAGCTACTCAAGAGGCTGAGGCACGAGAATCGCCTGAACCTGGGAGGCGGAAGTTGCAGTGAGCTGAGATTGCTCCACTACAGTCCCGCCTGGGCGACAGAGCAAGACTCCGCCTCAAGAAAAAAAAATAGCAAGTAGCCTATAATAACAAATTAGAGGGCTCTGGCTACTAAATTTAAAGGGTTTTATAAGGCTACATGAAGTGCAGCATCCTCAAGAGTGTGGACACAGAGAGCCCCTTAGCAGAAACAGTGTCTAAAATACATCCGTGTACACACAGTCCCTTTAGAGTTGACAAAGGCTGCCGTGTGGTTTAAGGTGGCATAGAATGTCTTCTTAATAAATAATATTAAACCAAAGGGTTACACGTAGGAAAAAATAAATCTAAACTTATTCTCACACTATAAAAACACTTCTTACTTTTTATCTAGTTATTGTACATTTTTTATGATTTATATTTAAAATTGAGAAATAAAAGTCATATACGGTCATCCTTTACTATTCGTGGGTGATTGGTTTCAGGATCTCCACTCAGGTACCAAAATCTGCAGATGCTCAAGCCTCTTACATAAAATGACACAGCATTTGGATATAACCCATGCACATCCTCCTGTATACATGAAATCATCTCTTGATTACTTATAATTCCTGATACAGCCTACACACTGCCTCATTTGTGTCCATTCAACATAGTTTTGCATTTTGAAACTTTGTGGACATTTTCTCTGAATATTTTTGATTTACACTTGGTTCAATAAACACCTGTAAACCCCACAGATATGGAGGAGCGACTGTATATTTATAGTATGAAATATGATGTGTTGATATGTGTCCCCGTGGAGATGAGACTAGCAAGGCTTATGACTCTACAAATGTTTCATCGTGGAATGACTCTGCCAGCTTTCCAGGTTGCAGAGAGTAAGAATATCACTTGTTCATGTGATTCACGATCCTTGGAACCTCCTATGTGCTGCATCTTTGGATGGAAATTGGAGTCCCAGAGACAAATGAGGCTCCACCCTGCTTCCAGAAGCTCAGAATCCAGGGGTGAGAACCCAGCGGAGAACAGATGGGGTTATGTGGACATGGTAATGATAACAGCGGTTTCTTTCAGCGAATACAGTGTCACATTACCTGAAGCAATGAGGGCAGACATGTTTATTTGAAGAGGAGACAGCTACATTGAAATCACAAAAAATTTTATAAGTTTCACTGCTGACAGAAGGCTGGAAAATAGTCCGAAGAAAGGTGAAACAGCATGAGGGAAGGTGGAACAGCACGTGGGTAAGTGCCACGTCAAGAGGGAGCCTCTTGTATGTTTGGAATTGTGAGTTCCTCAGTGTGATTGCAGCCTCAAGTAGACTAGGAAGTAAGCCAGTTAGGTTGGAGAGGTGGGCAGGGGTCAAGTGAAATGGAGAACTGTGGGCTAAGCAAAGGAGTGTGTTTTCTTTCCAGCAGGCAGTGGGGACCTAGACATTTGTAAGCAAGAGAGAGGCACCAGATTTGTGGCGTGAGGAGGAGCGATGCCCTAAGATGAAGACTCACGCCTTCAGATTCCAGCTGCTGGTACATGGGAGCTGGCAACTCGGTTTTGAGACAGGGCTGTTGTCTCCCTAGAAGACGTCCTCAAGGCCTGACTGTGGTGCTCATGGGCAGGAGACAACTTTGGATCTGGGCTTAGCATTTGGAAGTTCCGTGTACAAGATGGTATCTGTAGGGGGTGTCTTGGGCCTCTGAGAAGGGCGAGTGATTTTTCTCTGTGTGAAAACGCAGTGATCCAACTGTGCGTATGTCACCTCCTCAGGGTCTTGTTCATCAGAGTCCTGGAGAGAGGGAAATGCTGAGTGAGGGAGGGAAATGCTGAGTGAGGGAGGGTGCTCACGTTTTCCAGGACTGTTTGGGAATAACACTAGCCACGAGGCTGGGCCGAGGAGCACCTACCTCGCTGTTGGCTGTTCTGTTCCCTGCAGGCTCTTGGTCCATTACAGCAGCATCTGTAGGAGACGGAAGTCAACAAAAGAGCTCGGAGGGCACTTCTGGGTCCTCATTTCATAAGCAGATACCAACAAACAGGGGGAGGCCATAGGTGCCTGAGGTCCCTCAGTTGCCAACAGCAGACTCAGACATTCTATCTCTCTGAGCTCAAGGACCCATCCCATGAATAGCTCTGAGTTCCCATCCCATTGATTCTGTCTCCCACTTTCTGCCTCTCATGGAACCTTCTCCTGGATGTGAGTGGCTGCAGGGGACATGAGGATACAGTTCAGAATCAGGCAACGGTCTGTGAGCTGAAGGCAGGGGCAGGGAGTCTGGTGCTCTCTCTAGAAAGTCCTGCCTCTGTGGCTCCTGTCTTGGGCCAGGGACCATCCTGCCAGTGAGGAACACACAGCTGTGTGCTCCCATCCTGCTTCCCCACATGGCCCTGAGCTCTCTGGCCTGTGCCCCGTGAGACTTACTTTTTTTGTTGGAGCACCAGAGATGAAGGAGAAAGAAGAGGAGGAGGATGAAGAGGATGATGACCACTGAGGTCCCAATCAGAATGTGCAGGTGTCTGGGGTTACCTGGAAGAAGAGGAGACACCAGTAAGAAGCTAATCATAGCAGTTTCTCTATATGAATTGTCTTGCATTTCTTGATTGACAGGTAACCACTTACAGCATCTCTTTCGGACAAGCACCCAGATGGCGGGAGACCTAGCTTCCTCCTGCTTTCTCAGTTATAGCTCTCATAGTAACCATGGAACGTGCTGAGGATACAACTACTTTAGTTGAGATGTTTGACCCCTTCAAACCTCACATTGAAATTTAACCCCCAGTGTGGGAGGTTGGGCCTCTTGGGAGGTGTTTGGGTCATGGAGGTGGATCCATCATGAACAGATCAATGCTGTCCCAAGGAGACGGGGTTAGCAAGTTCCCTCTCTATTAGTTCCTGGAGAGCTGGTTGTTAAAAAGAGCTTGGAAGCTCCATTGCTCCCCCTCCCCCTTGCTCCCTCTCTTGCCGTGTGATCTCTGTGGTCTCTGCACAGACAGACCCTCCTTCCCTTCTGCCAGAGTGGGAGCGGCCTGAGGCCATCATAAGAAATAGATGCTGGTGCCATGCTTCCAGTACAGCCTGCAGAATGGTGAGGCAAACCAATCTCTTCTTTAGAAGTTACCCAGGCTCAAGTGTTCCTTTAGAGCAACAAAAATGGACTAAGACAGCAAAGTCCTGAGATCAGGAGGATCGTCCCAGAACAGCCTGGGCTGTCTTCCTGTTCTTCCTGGAGGAGGACGTCATGCAGTGCTTTAGCTGAGTGCTTCCTGTGGCTCCAGGGTACAAAACCCAGGCTGGGCTGCTTTCTGGCTTCCCCCAGCTACACTGCAAATGGGGTGACTCCACATGTCTCGAGCAGCTTTTCTGAGCCTTGGGGAACTGGCTCACATTGAAATGTAGGCTTCTGTTGTCACTCGCTGCTTATCTGTTAGTAATGAACCTGCCTATGTAACGTATTCTCTGTGTGTTCTGTCTCCCTGGAGTGACGGTGAGTGATAGGAATTGGCATAGGCCCAGGTGCAGTCCAGGAGGTGTTTAGAGTCTTCTCTGGGAAGACTGGACTGGGATTGATACACAGCGAATGTGCTTTAGGATTTCTACATCCACGGCATTCTTGAGTTAAACAACTTGCATTCTCCAAGAAAAGGAAACAAAAGTGAAATCAATATAAAAAAAGCGAAGTAGAATTCTCTTATGTCAAACAGCCAGAAAATAGTGTTGAAGCCCGTGTGAAATGTGCTACTCTTTGTGATCTCGGGAGACACATGTTAGGCTGCTGTTCTACCTCAGAGGCTGGGGGAAGGACCACCCCCTCGACTATCTATTGCTTCAATACCACCTGTCCTCCTGTGAATTAGTAGGAAAGGGGAGCAGGAGCTAGTGCTGGCACTGATCTCTGATTCCAAGATCTGGACTCACTCCAAGGAGTATTAGCATTTACCTCCCCATGATCTATCTGTATCTCCACAGGTGATTGGAAGTAGGGGTGAGATGGGGGATTTGGGTGAGGGGGCAAGTTTTTTTTGTGATGACCAGAGCACTTTCTCTATTCCAGGATTTGTGCTGGAGGATTCAGCGGGCTTTCACATTTTCTATATGATCTCATGCTCACAGAAAGCCAAATACGGAAGAGGTTTTAGGCTGATTGCCTAATGGATAAGATAAAGGATCAAAGAAGTAATTATAGAGAAATAGAAAAATGATGATGGGAATTCAGGTGCCTTTGTCATTCGTGTGTGTTTTATTATATTTATGCATTTCTTATTTTTATTTTTTGAGATGGAGTCTCCTTGTGTCACCCAGGCTGGAGTGCAGTGATGCGATCTCCACTCACTGCAACCTCCACCTCCTGGGTTGAAGTCATTCTCCTGCTTCATCCTCCAGAGCAGGAGCTGGGATTACAGGGATGCACCACCATGCTCGGCTAATTTTTGTATTTTTAGGAGAGATAGGGTTTCACCATGTAGAGATAGGGTTTCTCCATGTTGGCCAGGCTGGTCTCGAACTCCTGACTTCTTGGAATCCACTGGCCTTAGCCTCCTGCAGTGCTGGGTTACAGGAGTGAGCCACCGTTCACAGACTTGTATACTATGCTATAATAGGTCCCTTCATTTCCACCACCCCTCATATATCTGTCACTCCTTTGCCAGGTATTGATTTATGTGTAGGATGAATAAATCTCAGAAAGAAATTAATTTAGCAAGGATTAAACAACTAGGAAACTCAAACCCAGCAAGCCCTCCCTGCAAATGATTCTACCTCCCAAACATAGCTTATATCCATCTGCTTCATCCACTTAGGGTCTAAATCAGCACCACATTTCACCAGTGGGGCGGCAATTGCCTTTTCCACTGTCTCCTAGATTCCAGTTACGCACCTGGGCCTCCCTTATTTTCATGTCAGTCACTATTAATCATGTAGGGATTCCTGGCTACCCCGAGGTGAATCCAATGGCTGTGAGTGTCAAACACACACTCCTTGTTGCTCCTTAGTTTCCTGTGTACCCAGTGTGCTCTCCGTCTCTCCACAGTCGTCTTGTCATTCTCCCCACCTCATTCCCAGCATTTCAGGCAGAGCCTCTTCCTTCCACATCAGATTGTTTTCAGCTTTCTGCCTTCACGGCTGACAGCTGTGTGTGGAAAATCCTTCCGCCAATCTTTCAGGGGTTCAATCCGTGTTTTTCATTAATGTCACAAATATCTGATTAGTGAGACCTTCTCTGTCACCCAAAATTATACACTCAGCATTATCTATTATTTATTTTGAATTCTGGCTGGGCAAAGTGGCTCACGCCTGTAATCCCAGTACTTTGGGTTGCTGAGATGGTCGGATCACTTGAGGTTGGGAGTTTCAGACAAGCTTGGCCAACATGGTGAAACATCCTCTCTACAAAAAATATACAAAAAGAATTAGCCGGGCATGGTGGCAGTTGCCTGTAATCCCAGCTACTCGAGAGGGTGAGGCAGGAGAATCACTTGGATCCAGGAGACGCAGGTTGCAGTGAGCCAAGATCGTGACACTGCACTGTAGCCTGGAAGACAGAGGGAGACTCTGTCTCAATAAATAAATGAACGAACAAACAAATAGATTTCATGCACAGATGCTTCCCAATGGATCATTCATTTATTGGTCCACTTGTGCATTCATTTTCTGTCCTCCCATTTAACCATCTGCAATATCAGTGTCCCAAGAGCAGAGGCCAAATGCATCTTGTTCACCGTTCGTGGAAGGCAGGAGAATGCTGTCCCACCCCAAAATGTCCCTGTCCTAGCCTCCATAGCTTGTGAATATCTTATTTTACATGGAAAGAAGGAATGAAGATTGCAGATGGAATTACGGTTGCTAGTCAGCTGAACTGAAAACAAGGGTATCCTGAATGATTTCCGGGAGATTATGATGGATTTTCATCTTGGTGAACCCAATAGAATCCCCAAGTTTTCAAAAGATAAGGAAGAAGGGAGAGCAGCATTCAGAGAAAGAGGTGTGGTAAGGAAGAAGGGTCTGAGTGATGCCATGTGAGATGTGACCAGTCTTTGTGGGCTTTGAGGAAGGAGGAAGGGGACCAGGAGCCAAGGAACTGGGAGCCTTTAGAAGCTGGGACAAGTGAGAAGCAGATTCTTGCCTGGAATCCTCAGAGGGAAGGCAGCCTTGCTGTCACCTTGATTTTAGCCCAGTAAGATGCACTTCCTACTTTGAGCTACAGCACTGTAAGATAATTAAAAAACCGTTTTGTTTTCACCCACGAATCTTGTGGAAATTTGTTATGGCAACAATAGGAAAGGATTCCAACTGCACAGCCTGAGCATGGGGCCGTGGCTGAATGAGTCAGTGAGTCGAAGTGTGCGTGCATGAGCTCTGTTCTCTGTTACGGCAAGGCTCTTGCTCTGCTGAGTCAGCCAGGGTTGCTTCATGACCAACAGTAATTCATTCCTTGGCAAGTGGAACTTCTCTAAAACACCTCGCCCTCATCAGATGTTCCCTTCCCTTCCCTCTCTCAAGTCCCCAGGAATTTATCCTCCAGTTAGGAATGCAGGAAGAAAAAACACTGCATGTTTCCTGAGAAGGATGTCAGATTGGCAATCATTCTTCTAGCTTGTAGGAGGTCTCACCTGCAGGACATTAAAGGTTAAGAGACTTCGCTGAGTCCTTTGGTGGCCCTAGATCCCTTTCACTGTTGGAGTGTCTGGAGTTCAGAGATGGTGGAAGACAGGCCCTCATTCACAGAGCTGGGAGGTTTGAGCCAACACTTGCATCCAAGGCTTCCACCTCCCCAGGTTTCCAAAAGCAGAGATAAGAGGGGTCCTTTACTCACCAGATTTGGAGCTTGGTTCTGTGGGTGAAGGCCAACTACTTGAAGGGTTTCCTAGAACATGGGACAGGAGAGATGTGAGGAAATGAGGGTGCTTGTCCTCTACTCAATGGAAATCTTTGAGGTTGGTTCATGGCCAACACTCTGTTATCTAATGTTGGACCCTGGGAGTCTTGGGATCCTCTTCTCCATAATTTTTGTGTGCGATGCCCACTGTCTTGAGACTTGAAGGTATAAAGAGAAAACAGGAGCATCACACTACCTGACTTAGAAATATGTTACAGAGCTGTAGTAAGCAAAACAGCATGACATTGGCATAAAGAAAGGCACATAAAAAATGAAACAGAATGGAGAACACAGATATAATCCATGCATTTACATCCAATGGCTTTTTTTGTGTGTGTGTGTGTTAGAATCTTGCTCTGTCATGCAGGCTGGAGTGCAGAGGTGCAATCTCAGCTCAATGCAACCTCCACTTCCTGGATTCAAGCAATTCTCTTGCCTCAAACACCCGAGTAGTGGTATTACAGGCACTGGTCACCATGCTCAGCTAATTTTTGTATTTTTAGTAGAGACGAGGTTTCACTCTGTTGGCCAGCCTGATCTTGAACTCCTGGCTTCAGGTGATCCACCCGCCTCGGCCTCCCAAAGTGCTGGAATTGCAGGTGTGAGCCACCATACCCAGCCCATTTAATGGACTTTGACAAAGGTGCCGAGAACTTACAATCAGGAAAGGACAGTCTTTTCAATAAATGGTGTGGGGAAAACTGGATATCTATATGCAGAGGAATAAAACTGCATCTATACCTGTCACCATACACAAAAATCAAATGAAAATGGATTAAAAACATGAGTCTAAGGCCTGAACCTATGAAACATGTAGAAGAAAATAATGGGGAAGACATTTGTCTGACGAAAGACATTTTGTTTAAAACCTTCAAAACACAAGTAATCAAAGCAAAAAATAGACCATTAGGATTACATCAAACCAAGCAACTTCTGCACCACAAAAGATAAACC
Source organism: Homo sapiens (assembly GCF_000001405.40). Taxonomy (NCBI): domain Eukaryota; kingdom Metazoa; phylum Chordata; class Mammalia; order Primates; family Hominidae; genus Homo; species Homo sapiens. Next base: position 45,003 of record NT_187669.1, read on the forward strand.
AAGAAAGTGAAGAGACAACCGACAAAATAGGAGCAAATATTTGCAAACTATTCATCTGAGACGGGATTAATAACTGGAAATATAAGAAGCTCAAACAACTCAATAAAACAATTTAATTAAAAAACGAGCAAAAGACATGAGGAGACATTTCTCCACAAACAAAACATAGAAATGGCGATCACGTATATGAAAAAGTACTCGGCATCACTCATCATCAGAGAAATGTAAATTACAATCGCGATGAGTTTTCATCTCATCCCATTAAAATGCCTTTTAGGCCGGTGGCTCACGCCTGTAATTCCGGCACTTCAGGAGGCGGAGGTGGGCGGATCACCTGAGGTCGGGAGACCAGCCTGACCATCATGGAGAAACTCCCTCTCTACTAAACATACAAAAATTAGCTAGGCGTGGTGGCACATGCCTGTAATCCCAGCTACTTTGGAGGCTGAGGCAGGAGAATCAGTTGAACGCGGGAGGCGGAGGTTGCAGTGAGCTGAGATCACACCCTTGCACTCCAGCCTGGGAGACTATGAGTGAAACTCCATCTCAACATAAATAAATAAATAAAATAAAGTAAAGTAAAATGGCTTTTACTGCAAGACAGGCAAAACAAATGCTGGCAAGATGGTAGAGAAAGGAGAACCCTGGTACCCTGTTGGTAGGAATGTAAATTAGTACAACTATTATGGAGAAAAGTATGGAAATTCTTTAAAAAACTAAAAGGAGGCTGGGCATAGTGGCTTATGCCTGTAACTTCAGCACTTTGGGAAACCGAGGCAGGCACCTCACTTGAGGTCAGGAGTTTGAGAGCAGCCTGCCCAAAATTGGGATATCCCGTCTGTGCTAAAAAAATACAAAAATTAGCCAGGCATGGTGGCGTGCACCTGTAATCACAGCTACTAGGGAGGCTGAGTCAGGACAATCATTTGAACCTAGGAGGCACAGGTTGCAATGAGCCAAGATCTCACCACTTAGACTCCAGCTTGGACTAAGGAGGGAAACTCTTTCTCAAAAAAGAAAAAAAAAAAAAGAGAACTTTCATAGTGTCCAGCAATTTCACTACTGGGTTTATATCCAAAGGAAAGGACATCAGTGTATCGAAGTGATATCTGCACTCATATGACTGTTCCAGCACTGTTCACAGTAGCCAAGATGTGGAGTCAACCTACCTGCCCATCAGTGGGTGAATGGATAGAGAACTGTGGTACACACACACAGTGGAGACTACTCATCCATAGAAACAATAACATCCTGTCATTTGCAGCCACATGGATGGAACTGGAGGTCATTACAAAGATTCCCATTTCTCACCCACATGCAGGAGATAAAAGGTGGATCTCATGAAGGTGGAGAATACAATGGTGGACACCAGAGGCCAGGAAGGGAAGGGTGGAGGGTAACAAAAAAAAGAATATAGATGTATTTATTTATTTAGAAACAGAGTCTCTCTCTGTCTCCCAGGCTGCAGTGCAGTGGCATGATCTCGGCTCAGTGCAACCTCTGCCTCCTGGGTTTAAGTGCTTCTCCTGCCTCAGCCTCCCAAGTAGCTAGGACTACAGGTGCATGCCAGCATGCTCGGCTAATTTTTCTTGTCTGTTTAGTAAAGATGAATTTCCCACATGTTGGCCAGGGTGATCTCGAGTTCCTGATCTTAAATGATCCACCTTCCTTGGCCTCTCAAAGCGCCGAGATTACAACCGTGAACCACCACACCCAGCATATAAAGGTATTTATGACCACTAGATTTTACTTTTAAAAATGGTAAAGGTGGTAAATTATATAGTTACATTTAACCTCAATAAATATTTTTGAAAATGAAAAGAAAAGGGTGTAGGGGTTGCTGGTGATGATATCTCTCTGTGTGGGTGAGAGGCCATGATGGGCTTCTGGGAAATGGATAAGATTGAGGGGCTGAGGGAACCTCTGATCTCCCCAAACTAAGCCCAGTCTCCCCTTCTCTGGGTCTGTCCTGACCGCTTTCTCCATCTGCCTGGGTGCCTGGAGCCCTGATCGGAGGCCTCCATGCAGGCCATGAAGGAGGGTTTGGAGGTGCCCTGTCTGCCATCCTGCGCCCTGACTCCGCCCTCACACCTGCTGTGTCTTCTCTCTGCATCTGTCCATGCTTTTCTCCATCATCAGCAGGAAGCTCCTTAGCTAAGGATTTAGGATCATAGGACATGAGAGAGATATGGGCTTTTCTCACCTGTGACAGAAACAAGCAGTGGGTCACTCGGGTCTGACCACTCGTAGGGAGAGTGACGGAAAGAGCCGAAGCATCTGTAGGTCCCTCCGTGGGTGGCAGGGCCCAGAGGGAAATCTGCCTGGAATGTTCTGTTGACCTTGCGCACTGCAGGGAGCCTACGTTCATGGGCTCCCCCCTCCCTGGATAGATGGTACATGTCATAGGAGCTCCGGGAGCTGCAGGACAAGGTCACGCTCTCTCCTGCCTGAACCTTGGGGCCCGGCTGGGCTGAGAGAGAAGGTTTCTCATATGGACCTGGAAGGAGAAGAGGCAGTTTCCTCAGGGAGGTTCTTCCTTGTCATAGCTCCCCTCATACCTGAGCTGAGAACTCACTCCCCTGCTCTATGACCTAATGCTCTCTCTCTCTCTCTCACCCTCCACCCCATCTCTCTTCATATCTGTTTCCTCCTTCTACCTTTTCTGTCTCTCTAGGTCTATGACCTCACTTCCCCACCCTGAGGTATGTTTTCCCTTTTTGGATTGTTTTATTCTCTCTGACCCTCCTTGGATTGGTTGACTTGATCTTCCTTTTTCTTTAATTTTGAGTCTCTCACTTTCTGTCTTGTTCATAACTTTCTGCACATTTCTATCTATTTATCTATTTTGTGTCTATCTACAAATTATCTATCATCTATATTTATGTATCACTTATCTATCTCTCTATCAATTGTCTATCTGTCTATCTATCCATCAATCATCTATTATCTATATATGTATCATCTATCTCTCTCTCTATTACCTCTCTGTCTGCCTCTCTGTCTCTATTTATGTATCATCTATGTATATATCTATGTGTCTATCATCATCATCGTCATCTCTATGTATCATCTATCAGTCATCATCTATGTATCTATAACCAATCCATTATCTATCATCTACCTATTTATCATCTATCTACGTCTATCTATCCATCTATCATCTCTCTCTCTCCGTCTCCTTGTCTTTCTCTGCCTCTCAGTCTCTCTAGTTCTATTTGGAATCTCTGCAATCCATCCCCACATATTTATCTTTCTCTGTCTTTGTGTCCCTCCCTCAGGGTTCTGATTTTGGGGCTTTTCTCTCCTCCTTTCCATCATTCTCTCCATTCTGCCCTCTTTTCTTTCTTTTTATGTGTCTGTGAATCTCTTAATCTCCTTCTTCTGGCTCATTTTGTGTGTGTTTATGTCTTTGTTTTTTGGTGTCCCTGATTTTTCTCTGTGTCTCTCAGCGATCCTATCATATGTGGGATTATTTGGAATATGAGCCTCAGAATCCAGTCTGGGGACCCCAAGTTCACACAGCATACAGGGGTTGGTGTTCAGGGGCCATGATATCCTGGGATGATTACTCTCCATTGCATGGAAGGCAGAGGTGTCAGAATAAACACGGCATCTGTAGGTGGCACAAGGCCTGAGGCCACAGGGCCCAACTCAGGTCAGAAATATGGGTGTCCTTGGGTTCTTCTGGTAGGAACACTTTGTGGAGGTAAAACAGAAATGAAACTTCTAACCTGTGCCAGGTCTCTGAGCAAAGTCAGCATGGAAGGACACCTCTCTCTGGGACATGTCTGTCTGTCTGAGTGTCTCCTTTACCTCTTTCTCTCTTTTCTACCTCCCTGTATGGCCCCTGTGTCTGTCCTCTGTTATGACACCTGTTCTGTACTTATGTCTCCTGTTTCTCTGTCTCTGTTGGTACAGACCTCACCAAGTCACTCTCTTTCCATAAGAATCCCACACTTATCTTCCTCATGACCACCTGGGGGTTCCAAGTCCTGGATCATTCACTCTGTGTCCCAGTGACAATGAGAACAATGTCTAGACACTCTCACCTGTGACCACGATGTCCAGGGGATCACTGGGAGCTGACAACTGATAGGGGGTGTGAGTAACAGAACCGTAGCATCTGTAGGTCCCTGCAAGGGCAAGCATCATGGGACCGATGGAGAAATTGGCCTTGGAGACCCCATCATGGATCTGTCCAACGAGGCGTGAGGGGTCCTTAGAGATCCCCTCTTTGTGCAGAAAGAAGTGCTCAAACATGATATCTGACCAACATTGCAGGATGACTCTCTCTCCTGATTTCACCAGGGGACCTGGGTGGGCCAGGAGGGAAGGTTTTCTGTGGTTTCCTAGAAAGAGAAGTTGTGAGTTTAGAAGGCATCTCTCTTTATCATCCCATCCATGGCACCTGGAATGAGTGAGGGTTCCCCTCCCCGTGTCTGTCTCTCTCCTCCCTCTCTGCATCTCCGTGTCTTTTCTGTGCCCATATCCCCTGGTGCAGGTGCCTCCATCTGTCTTCCTCCCTCTTCTCTGTCCCTCTGTCTCCAGTAGCCCCTGACTCCCTTGCCACTGTGAAGACAGCCTCATCTCTTGGGCTGTTGTATCTGTTTCCCACTAATCTCTTTCCTGCTGTCTATGTGGGGGTGGAAGAGGAGAGGCTGCATGTCCAGGCTCTTAGCAGCCTGAATCAATCTCTTTTGAACAAATCCCCAGTTCAAGTGATTCTCTTGCCTCAGCCTCCCCAGTCGTTGGATTACTCGCGCCCACCACCACATCTGGCTATCCTTGTTTGGTTTCCTAACTTGTCCTTGACCTGGGTTCCTGTGTTGGTTTCCTGTTGCTGCTGCAGAAAATTACCACAAACATGGCAGCGGGAGAGAACACACTGACCCCTTCCACTTCTGGAGACAGAAATTGGATCCAGTTCTCCCTGTGCTGAAATCAAGGTGTCTACAGGGCTGCGTTCCCTCTGGAGAATCAGCGAATCAGTTCTCTTGACTTCTCCAGCCCTTAGAGGCCACCTGCATTCTGTGACTAGTGGTCTTCCTCCACCTTCAAAGCCCGCAGTGGCTGATAGCGTCTCCCTCCCACTACACTGCTCTAATCCCCACTCCCCTCTTCCTCCACCTCTCATGTGGACCCTTGTGATTACACTGAGCCCAGTGGGACAGTCCAGGCTGTCTCCCCATCTCAAGGTCAACTCATCAACAACCTGAGCTCCACCTTCCCCTTCAGTCCCCTGCCCTGTAACATAAATAGTCACAGGCTCCAGGGATTACAATGTAGCCATCATTGGGGACAGTGATTCTTCCCACCACAGCACCCATTTCCCCTGTATTCAATCTCCCTTGACCCCAAATACAGTCAGGGCCTGGGTGATGGGACCCTGACGGACACCCCCACCAGAAGCTCTGGGATTCAGGAGGTGGGACAGTGAGAAGCCCAGACGGAAAGCCTCTGACCTGTGACCATGATCACCACGGGGTTGCTGGGTGCCGACCACCCAGTGGGGGAGTGTGGGTGTGAACCCCGACATGTGTAGTTCCCTGCATGTGCTGTGGTCACAGGGCTCATGTTGAAGCTCTCCTGGAATAATCTGCCATGGAAGATGGGAACGTGGATTCTGTCTTCTTTGTATAGCATGAAATTGTTAAACCTATGACGATAGTGACACCGAAGAGTCACGTGTCCTCCTCGAGGCACCACAGCGCTGGGCCAGGCAGACAGGAAGGGCTTGTCCTGACCACCTGGGGGAGAAGGAGGCACTGCCTTAGAGAGGAGGATGTGGAGCCGCCCCTCACTCCCAGTGCCCAGAAGATTCTCCCCATTTCCACTTTCTAAGGCTCCTACCACACCTGGGTGCCCAGGGCTACAGGAAGGACCCATCCTGCATAGACATGGCGTCTCCCTACAACAAGTGTCAGCTGAGAACTTTGAGCAAGTGCTGGAGAAGCAACTCTTACTAGATTTTAATACTGCAAAATTACTCATATAAAACAACACAAAGTAGACACGGCATGGAGGGCAAGTCCTATGTGAATGGAATATCAGCCAATTGATGAACTGAGCCCCCATCAGAGGATTTGGAATGTCAGGGCCATGGCTGTGGTTTCCTCACCTTTTCTGGTAGAAAGACCACAGCCACACTGCAGCCCCTACCATCACGGAAACGCTGGAGGGTGTGAGTTACACCTTTGTCCTCAGAGGACCTGCTGTTCCTAGCACTGCTTCCCTCTCTTTCTCTGCTGCTGACACCACTTCCTCCCTGCACACCCATCTTGGAGCACCCTAGTCTCACCCCAGTCTTCACAGAGCTTGACTCAGGAAAGGGAAAGAAAGGCCGGGGAGGGCAAGGTCAGAAATGTGGGCCGAGCATCCGAGGGTCCCCTCTTCCTAGTTTATGAGAGACTCCCCGACAGGACTTCCCTCCCATTTCAGGAAAATCCTCTTATGTGGGGAGATGACACCCTAAGGTTTGGGGAAGGACTCACCCACGTGTGGACCGGCCCTCTGGACCAAGAAGAACCCTAGAAAGAAAGATCATGATGGACCATCCATCTGCAGGCAAACCAGGGCACCCTGCTGCCCCCACTGGGCTGTGCGTCTTGGCAGCCAGGCCCTTGCTGGGCTGAAGGTAAACTCACCCTCGCTGCCTACCTGCCCCCAGGAACAAGGATCTCGGCTGTGCAGAGACTCAGCCTCCAGGCCCAGATCTCTACCTCCAGGCCTAGATCTACACAACAGGCCCAGATCTCCACTCCAGGTCCGTATCTCCACTCCAGACCCATATCTCCTCTCCAGGCTGATAAGTCCACTCCAGGCCCATATCTCCACTCCAGGCTCCTATCTCAACTCCAGGCTCATATATCCACTCCAGGCTCATATCTCCACTCCAGGCCCATATTTCCACTCCAGGCTTCTATCTCCTCTCCAGGCCCATATCTCCTTTCCAGGCTTGTATGTCTGCTCCAGGCCCGTATCTCCACCCCAGGCCCATATCTCCACTCCAGGATCATATCTCCACTCCAGGCCCAGATCTCCACTTCATGCCCTTAACTCCACCTCCGGGCCCATAACTCCACCTCTAGGCCCATATCTCCACTCCAGGCCCATATCTCCACTTCAGGCCCATATCTCTACTGCAGGCCCATAACTCCACCTCCAGGCCCATATCTCCACTCCAGGCCCATCGCTCCACTTCTAGGCCCATCACTCCACCTCTAGGCCCACATCTCCCCTCCAGGCCCATCCATATCTCCCCTCCAGGCCCATATCTCCACCCCAGGCACATATCTCCACCCCAGGCCCATATCTCCACTCCAGGCCCAGATCTCCACTCCAGGCACATATCTCCACCCCAGGCCCCTATCTCCACTCCAGGCCCAGATCTCCACTCCAGGCCCAGATCTCCACTTCAGGCCCATAACTCCACCTCCAGGCCCATAACTCCACCTCTAGGCCCATATCTTTACCTCCAGGTCCAGATCTCCATCCCCGCACTCCCTCCCTCGATTCCCTTCCAGGACTCACCAACACACGCCATGCTGACGACCATGAGCAACATGGTGCTGCCGGTGCAGACAGGCGGCCGCGCCCCAGCTCAGCTCAGCAGCGCACAGGATGTTATTTGGCGCCCTGCCCATGCAGTTTACATGTTGACCACATCATGGGAGGGTGACGTACGCAGGCTCTTTCTACCTTGCATGAGGCCCAGTGGGTGCTCGCTCAAGAGCGGAACATGGCTTCCTGGAAATTGCTCTCACTAGAATTGACACCTCGCGTCCTTCACTATGACCAACTCAAAACACGTCTTAGATCCAACCTCCCGAACACGAGATGCCTAAAATCTGTGCTAACATGAAAGACTTTTCATGTATTTTTTTTGCTTTTATCTGAGATTCAAACTCTTCTTCCTGTGTAATATGCAAAATATCTAATAGGTATTATTAAGGTTTTCAGAGCAATTGTGACTAATAAACCATTAGAATTTTTCATGATTGTATTTCTAGTATTACAGCAGAACCAGTTCAAATGATTTAAACTCCCAGGGAAGGATTATGCAATTATTTACAATCTTAGAATTGTACTTTATCAGCAAAAATCACAACATGTAAATTCTGGATTTTTGTAGATTTATCTAGAATTTGTCTCATGTCCCAAGATTCCAGAGTTCCAACTCATGGTTTGCTCTCTCTCTGTCTCTCTGCCTCCCTCATTTTAAATTTTACAGAAATATCCAGTAACATAATGCTATAGAAAATCAATTTCCCCAGCACTTTGGAAGCCGAAGTGAGTGATCAACCGAGGTCAGGAGTTTGAGACCAGCCTGGCCAATATAGTGAAACCATGTCTCTGCTAAAAATACAAAAATTAGCCATGCCTGGTAGCAGGCACTTGTAATGCCAGCTATTCAAGAGGCTGAGCCACGGAATCCCTTGAACCTGGGAGGCGGAAGTTGCAGTGAGCCGAGATCGTGCCACTGCACTCCAGCCTGGGCAACAGAGCGAGACTCTGCCTCAAGAAAAATAAAAAAAGCATAGCAAATAGCCTATAATAAATAACTAGAGGACTCCAGCTACCAAATTTTAGGGGTTGTATAAGGCTGCATAAAATGCAGCATTCTCAAGAGAGTGGACAGAGAGAGAGCCACTGAGCAGAAAACAGTGTCTAAAATACATCCGTGTACACACAGTCCCTTTATAGTTGACAAAGGCTGCCATGTGGTTTAAGGTGGAATAGAATGTCTTCTCAATAAATAACATGGGCCCAAGGGTTACACATGGAGAAAAATATATCTAAAAGTATTCTCACACTATAAAACACTTGTTTATTTTATCTTGTTATTGTAATTTTTTTATGTTTTATATTTAAAATTGAGAAATAAAAATTATATACAGTCATCCCTCACTATTCGTGGGTGATTGGTTTCAGGATCTCCACTCAGATAGCACAATCTGCAGATGCTCAAGCCTCTTACATGAAATGGCACAGCATTTGCAAATAACCCATGCACATCCTCCTGTGTACATGAAATCATCCCTTGATTATTTATAATTCCTGATACAGCCTACACACAGCTTCATTTGTGTCCATTCAACATAGTTTTGCTTTTTGAAACTTTGTGGATTTTTTCTCTGAATATTTTTGATTTATATTTGGTTCAATAAACACCTGTAAATCCCACAGATACAGAGGACCGACTGTATATTTATAGTATGAAAGATGATGTGTTGATATGTGTCCCCGTGGAGATGAGACTGACAAGGCCTATGACTCTACAAATGTTTCATCATGGAATGACTCTGCCAGCTTTCCAGGTCTGCAGAGAGTAAGAATATCACTTGTTCATGTGATTCACGATCCTTGGAACCTCTTATGTGCTGCATCTTTGGATGGAAATTGGAGTCTCAGAGACAAATCAGGCTCCACCCTGCTTCCAGAAGCTCAGAGTCCAGGGGTGAGAACCCAGTGGAGAACAGTTGGAGTTATTTGGACATGGTAATGATAACACTGGAAACTTTCAGCCAAAAAAAGAGTCACCTAAAGAATGAAGGCAGACATGTTTATTTGAAGAGGAGAGAACTACACTGAAATCAAAAAAATTTTATAAGGTTTGCTGATGCCAGAAGGCTGAAAAATAGTCTGAGGAAAGGTGGAACAGCACGAGGGAAGGTGGAACAGCACGTGTCTAAGTGCCGTGTTAATAGAGAGCCTCTTGTATGTTTGGAATTGTGAGTTCCTCAGTGTGATTGCAGCCTCAAGTAGACTAGGAAGTAAGCCAGTTAGGTTGGAGAGGTGGGCAGGGGTCAAGTGAAATAGAGAATTGTGGGCTAAGCAAAGGAGTGTGTTTTCTCTGCAGCAGGCAGTGGGGACCTTAGACATTGGTAAGCAAGAGACAGGCACCAGATTTGTGGTGTGAGGAAGAGTGATGCTCTAAGATGGAGACTCACGCCTTCAGATTCCAGCTGCTGGTACATTAGAGCTGGCAAGCTGGGTTTGAGACAGGGCTGTTGTCTCCCTAGAAGATCCCATCAAGGCCTGACTGTGGTGCTCATGGGCAGGAGATAACGCTCTGGGCTCAGCATTTGGAAGTTCTATACACACGCTGGTATCTGTTGAGGGTCTCTTGCTCCTCTGAGAAGGGCCAGTGATTTTTCTCTGTGTGAAAATGCAGTGATCCAACTGTGCGTATGTCACCTCCTGAGGGTCTTGTTCATCAGAGTCCTGGAGAGAGGGAAATCCTGAGTGAGGGAGGGTGTTCACATTTTTCAGGACTATTAGGGAATAAGACTGTATCCATGAGGCTGGGCTAGGAGGACCTACCTCCCTGTTCACTGTTCTGTGTCCCGCAGGCTCTTGGTTCATTACAGCAGCATCTGTAGGAGACGGAAGCAATCAAAACAGCTGGGAGGGCACTTCTGGGTCCTCATTTCATGAACAGATACCAACACACAGGGGGAGGCCATAGGTGCCTGAGGTCCCTCAGCTGCCAACAGCCAGACTCAGACATTCCATCTCTCTGAGTGCAAGACCCCATTCCATGAATAGCTGTCAGTTCCCATCCCATTGATTCTATCTCCCACTTTCTGCCTGTCATGGAATCTTCTCCTGGATGTGAGTGGCTGCAGGGGACGTGAGGATACAGTTCACAATCAGGCAATGGTCTGTGAGCTGAAGGCAGGGGCAGGGTGTCTGGTGCTCTCTCTAGAAAGCTCTGCCTCTGGCTCCTGCCTTGGGCCAGAGACTTTCCTGCCAGTGAGGAACACACACCTGCGTGCTCCCATCCTGCTTCCGCACAGGGCCCTGAGTTCTCTGGCCTCTGCTTCGTGAGGCTTACTTTTTTTTTTGGAGCACCAGCGATGAAGGAGAAAGAAGGGAAGGATGGTGAAGAGGATGATGGCCACTGAGTACCTAATCACAGCATGCAGGTGTCTGGCGATACCTGGAGGAAGATGAGAATCCAATAAGAAGCTAACCATAGCAGTTCCTCTTTGTGGATTGTCTCTCATTTCTTGGTTGCCAGGCAACCACATAAAACACCTCTTTAGGACAAGCACCCACGAGGCGGGAGACCCAGCTTTCTCCTGCTTTCTCCGTTATAGTTTTCATAATAACAATAGAATGTGCTGATGATACAACTGCTATTGTTTCAATGTTTGACCCCTCCAAACCCCACTTTGAAATTTAATCCCCAGTGTGGGAGGTTGTGCCTATTGGGAGGGGTGTTTTGGTCATGGGGGTGGATCCATCATGAATAGATTAATGCTGTCCCCAGAGGACGGGTTTAGCAAGTTCTCCCTCTATTAGTACCCTGGAGAGTTGATTCTTAAAAAGAGCTTGGAAGCTCCATCACACCCCCTTTCTCCCTCTCTTGCCATGTGATCTCTGTGGTCTCTGCACACGCAGGACCCCCTTCTCTTCTGTCAGTGTGGGAGCAGCCTGAGGCCGCAGCCAGAAATAGATGGTAGTGTCCTGCTTCTAGTACAGCGTGCCGATCAGTGAGCCAAACACATCTCTTTTCTTTAGAAGATACCCAGGCTCAAGTGTTCTTTTATAGCAACAAAAATAGGCTAAGACAGCAACATCCTGAGATCAGGAGGAACGTCTCAGAACAGCCTGGGCTGTCTTCCTGTTCTTCCTGGAGGAGAACATCATGCAGTGCTTTAGCTGAGTGTTCCCTGTGGCTCCAGGGTACAAAACCCAGGCTGGGCTGCTTTCTGGCTTCCCCCAGCTACAGTGCACATGAAGTGACTCCATGTGTCCTGAGCAGTTTTTCTGAGCCTTGAGGGACTGGCTCACCCTGAAAGGAAGGTTTCTGTTGTCACTCGCTGCTTATCTATAAGTAATGAACCTGCCTATGTAATGTATTCCCTGTGTGTTCTGTCTCCCTGGAGTGATGGTGAGTGATAGAAATTGGCACAGGCCCAGGTGCAGTATGGGAGGTGTTTAGAGTCTTCTCTGGGAAGACTGGACTGGGATTGATACACAGTGAATGTGCTTTACAGTTTCTACATCCACAACCCTCTTGACTCAAACAAATTACATTCTCCAAGAAAAGGAAAAAACAGTGACATTGAAATCAACATAAGTGAGGTTGAGCTGTCTTATATCAAACAGCCAGGAAATAATGATGAAGCTCGTGGGCAACATGCTACTTTTGTCATCTTGGGAGTCAGATATTAGGCTGCTGTTCCACCCGAGAGTCTGGGGGAAAGACCACCCCCTCCATCATCTGTTGCTTCAATACAGCCTGTCTTTCTGTGAATTACTCCAAAAGGTGACCAGGAGATAGTGCTGGCACTGGTCTCTGAGTCTACGATCTGAACTCCAAAGAATATTAGTTTTTACCTCCCCATGATCTATCTGTATCATTAATGTGATTGGAAGTAGGGGTGAGGTGGGGGATTTGGGTGAAGGGGCAAGTTTTGTGCCATGAACAGATCACGTTCTCTATTCCAGGACCTGTGCTGGTGGGTTTCACATTTTCCATATGATCTCATGCTCACAGAAAGCCAAATAAGGAAGATGTTTTCGCCTGATTTTCTTATGGATAGGATAAAGGATCAAAGAAGTCATTATAGAGAAATAGAAAAATGATGATTGGAATTGGTGTGCCTTTGTCATTCGTGTATGTTATATTATATTTATGTATTCTTTATTTTTATTTTTTGCCATGGAGTCTCACTCTGTCACCTAGGGTGCAGTGCAATGACGCGATCTTGGCTCACTGTAACCTCTCCCTCCCTGGTTGAAGCCATTCTCCTTCTTCAACTTCCTGAATAGCTGGTATTACAGGCACGCGCCACCACCCCCAGCTAGTTTTTGTATATTTTGTAGAGATGGGGTTTCACCATGTTGTCCAGGCTGATCTCGAACTCCTGATCTCACTTGATCCAGCCTCCTCAGCCTCCCAAAATGTTGGGTTACAGGTGTGAGCCACCGTTCAGAACCTTGTGTGTTATATTATAATAGGTCTCTTCCTTTGCACCACCCCTCATGTATCTCTCACTCCTCTGCCAAGTATTGATTTACATGTAGGAAAAATAAATCTCAGAAAGAAATCAATGAAGTGAAGATTAAACAATTAGGAAAAATCAAACCAGGCAAGCCCTCCCTGCAAATTACTCTACCTCACAAACACATCTTGTGTCCATCTTTCATTCATTTAGTGTCTAAATCAGCACCACATTTCACCAGGGGGGCGGGAATTGCCTTTTCCACAGTCTCCTAGATTCCAGTTATGCACCTGGGCCTCCCTTATTTTCATGTCAGTCACTATTCATCATGTAGGGATTCCCAGTTAGCCCCGAGGTAAGTCCAATGGCTGTGAGTATCAAACACACGCTCCTTGTTCCTCCTTAGTTTCCTGTGTACCCAGAGTGCTCTCTGTCTCTCCACAGTCGTCTTGTCATTCTCCCCATGTCATTCCCAGCATTTCAGGCAGAGCCTCTTCCTTCCACATAACATTGTTTTCACCTTTGTGCCTTCACGGCTGACAGCTGTGTGGAAAATCCTTCCGCCAATCTTCCAGGGGTTGATCTATTTTTTTCATTAAGGTCACAAGTATTATTTGATCAGTGAGAACTTCTCTGTCACCCGAAATTATACACTCAGCATTATCTATTATTTCTTTTAAAATACGGCTCGGCGCCTTGGCTCACGCCTCTAATCTCAGCACTTTGGGAGGCTGAGACGGGCGGATCCCTTAAGGTTGGGAGTTTGAGATAGCCTGGGCAACATGGTAAAACCTTGTCTGTACTAAAAAAAAATACCAAAAAAAAATTAGCCAGGCGTGGTGGGACATGGGTGTAATCCCAGCCTCTCGGGAAGCTGAGTGTAGAGAATCGCTTTAACCTGGGAGGTGGAGGTTGCGGTGAGCCGAGATCCCGCCACTGCACTCCAGCCTGGGGCACAGAGGGAGACACCGTCTCATAAAAACAACCAATCAATCAATCATTCTCATGCACAGATGCTTCCCAATGGATCATTCATTTATTGGTCCACTGGTGTATTCATTTTCTGCCCTCCCATTTAATCCTTTGCAATATCAGTGTCCAAGAGCAGAGGCCAAATGCACCTTGTTTACCATTTGTGGAAAGGATAAGAATGCCGCCCCACCCCAAAATGTTCCTGTCCTAGTCGCCATATCTTGTGAATATGTTATTTTACATGGAAAAAAGGAATGCAGATTGCAGATGGAATTACGGTTGCTAATCAGCTAACCTTAAAAGGAGGGTATCCTAGATGATTTTAGGGAAATTATGATGGATTATCTTGGTGTTTCCAATAGAATGCCAAAGTCCTTAAAAGATGAGGAAGAAGGCAGAGCAGCATTCAGAGAAAGAGGTGTGGACAAGGAAGAAGGGTCTGAGTGATGCCGTGTGAGAGGCGTGACCAGCCTTTGTGGACTTTGAGGGAGGAAGACGGGGACCAGGAGCCAAGGAATGTGGGAGCCTCTAGGAGCTGGGAAAAGTGAGGAAGCAGATTCTTGCCTGGAACATTCAGAGGGAAGGCAGCCTTGCTGTCACCTTGATTTTAGCCCAGTGAGATGATGCATTTCATACTTCTGAGCTACAGCACCATGAGATATTTTTTAAAAATGTGGTTTCCATCCACGAAGCTTGTGGAAATTTGTTATGGCAACATAGGAAAAAGTTCCACACTGCACAGTCTGAGCATGGGGCAGTGGCTGAACGAGTAAGTGGAAGTGTCATGTGCACGGATGAACTACGTTCTCTCTTACCGCAAAGCTCTTGTTCCACTAAGTCAACCAGGGTTGGATCATGACAGACAGGAGCTCATTCCTTGGCAAGTAGAACTTCTCTACAAACACACCACCCTCAAAAATGTTCCCCTTCCTTCCCCTTCTCAAGCCCCCAGGCATTTGTCCTCCCAGTTAGGAATGCAGGCAGAACAAACACAGCATTTTTCCTGAGAAGAATGTCTGATTTGCACTCATCCTTCTACCCTGAGGTCTCAGCAGCAGAAAATTAGAGATTAAGAGATTTCACTGAGCCCTGTGCTGGGCCCAGATCCCTTTCGCTGTTGGAGTGTCTGGGGTTCAGAGACAATGGAAGACAGGCCCACAATCACAGAGCTGGCAGGTGCTGAGCCAACGCTTGAATCCAAGGCTTCTACCTCCCCAGGTTTCCAAAAGCAGAGATAAGAGGGGTCCTTCACTTACCAGTTTTGAAGCTTGGTTCAGTGGGTGAAGGCCAACTACTAGAAGGGTTTCCTAGAACATGGGACAGGAGAGAGGTGTGGCAATGAGGATGCCTGTCTTTTCTACTCAATGGAAATCTTTGAGGTTGGTTCATGGCCAACCTTCTATTATCTAATGTTGGGCCCTGGGAGTCCTGGCATCCCATTCTCCATAATCATTGTAGGTGACACCAACTATCTTGAGACTTCAAGGTATAAGGAGAAAACAGGAGCATCACACTACCTGACTTAAAAATATGTTACAGAGCTGTAGTAAGCAAAACAACATGACATTGGCATAAAGAAAAGCACATAAAACAATGAAGCAGAATGAAGAACACGGATGTAATCCACCCATTTACATCCAATGGACTTTGACAAAGGTTCGAAGAATCTACAATCTGGAAAGGACAGTCATTTCAATAAATGGTGCAGGGAAAACTGGATATCTACATGCAGAGGGATGAAACTGCACCTCTACCTCTCACCATACACAAAAATCAGATGAAAATGGATTAATGACTTAAGACCTGAATCCATTAAATGTCTAAAAGGAAACACTGGAGAAATGCTCCAGGACATTTGTCTGAGGGAAGACATTTTGTTTAAAACCTCAAAAACACAAGTAATCACAACAACAACAAAAAAAATAGACCATTGGGATTATATCAAATCAAGCAGCTTCTGCACCGCAAAGGAAGCAACCAATGAAGTGAAGAAGAGAAAACCCACAGAATGGGAGCAAATATTTGCAAACTATGCATCTGAGATGGGATTAATAACTAGAATATAAAAGAAGCTCAAACACCTCAATAAAACTAATAATTTAATTATAAAATTAGTAAAAGACCTGAACAGACATTTCTCAATGAACAAAACATACAAATGAACATATATACATTGCATATATGAAAAAGTGCTCAGTATCACTAATCATCAGAGAAATGCAAATGAAGTCACAATGAGCTATCATCTCACCCCATTACAATGGGTTTTATCTCAGAGACAGACAAAACAAATGTTGGCAAGGTGGTGGAGAAAGGAGAACCCTGATACACTGTTGATAGGAATGTAAATTAATACAGCCATTACAGAGGAGAAGAATATGGAAGTTCCTTAAAAACTGAAAAGAGATTAGGCACTGTGGCTCACGCTTGTAATCCCAGCACCTTGGGAGGCTGAAGTGGGCAGATCACTGGAGGTCAAGAGTTCGAGACCAGCCTGGCTAACATGGTGAAACCCCGTCTCTACTAAAAATACAAAAATCAGCCAGGCTTGGTGGCGGGCACCAGTAATCCCAACTACTCGGGAGGCTGAGGCTGGAGAATCACTTGAATCCTGGAGGTAGAGGTTGCAGTGAGCCCAGGTGGTGCCATTGCACTCCAGCTTGGGCAACAAGAGTGAAACGCTATGTCAAAAAAACAAAAAGCATAAAACAAAACCTAAAAAGAGAACATCCAGAGGATCTAGCAATTCCACTAGTGGGTGTAAATGCAAAGAAAAGGACTTCAGTGTATTGAAGTGACATCTGCACTCCCATGACTGTTCCAGCACTGTTCACAGTAGCCAAGATGTGGAGTCAACCTACCTGCCCATCAGTGGATGAATGGATAGAGAGAATGTAGTACATACACACAATGGAGACAACTCATCCATAGAAAGAGTAACGTCCTGTCATTTGCAGCCACATGGATGGACTAGAGGTCATTACAAGGATTGCCATTTCTTACTCACATGCAGGATGTAAAAGGTGGACCTCATGAAGGTAGAGAGTAGAATGGTGGATACCAGAGGTTAGGAAGGAAGGGGTGGAGGGTAACAAAAGAAGAATATAAAAGTATTTATTTATTTATTTATTTAGAGACAGAGTCTCTCTGTGTCACCAGGCTGCAGTGCAGTGGCATGATCTCAGCTCACTGCAACCTCCTCCTCCTGGGTTTAAGCCACTCTCCCGCCTCAGCCTCCCAAGTTGCTGGGATTATAGGCGCCTGGCACCATGCCTGGCTAATTTTATTTTTTTTGTCTTTTTAGTAAAGATTGGTTCCCCCATGTTGGCCGGGCTGGTCTCCAGCCCCTGATTTTAAATGATCCACCTGCCTTGGCGTCTCAAAATGCTGAGATTACAGGCGTGAGCCACCGCACACAGCATATAAAGGTATTTATGATCCCTAGATTTTACACTTAAAAATGGTAAAGTTGATAAATTATATAGGTATATTTAACCTCAATCAGCATTTTTTCAAAGGAAAAGAAAAAGTGTAGGGGTTGCTGGTGATGACATCTCTGTGTAGGTGAGAGGCCAGGGTGGGCTTCTGGGAAATGGGTAAGGTTGAGGGGCTGAGGGAACCTCTGATCTCCCCAAACTGAGCCCAGTCTCCCTCCTCTGGGTCTGTCCTGACCACTTTCTCCATCTGCCTGGGTACCCGGAGCCCTTACTGCAAGCTTCCATGCAGGCCATGCAGGAGGGTTTGGAGGTGCCCTGTCTGCCATCCTGTGCCCTGATCCCACCCTCACACCATGCTGCATCTTCTCTCCACATCTGTCCATGCTTCTCTCCATCATCAGCAGGAAGCTCCTCAGCTAAGGCTCTAGGACCATAGGACATGGGACAGACATTGGCTTTCCTCACCTGTGACAGAAACAGGCAGTGGGTCACTCGCGTCTGACCACTCGTAGGGAGATCCATGGAAAGAGCCGAAGCATCTGTAGGTCTCTCCGTGGGTGGCAGGACCCAGAGGGAAGTCGGCCTGGAATGTTCCATTGATGCTGGGCACTGCAGGGAGCCTAAGTTCATGGGCTTCCCCCTCCCTGGATAGATGGTAGATGTCAAAGGAGCTCTGGGAGCTGCAGGACAAGGTCACGTTCTCTCCTGTGCGAACCGTGGGGCCCGGCCGGGCTGTAAGCGAAGGTTTCTCATATAGACCTGGAAGGAGAAGAGGCAGTTTCCTCAGGGAGGTTCTTCCTTGTCACAGCTCCCCTCCCACCTGAGCTGAGAACTCACTGCCCTGCTCTATGGCCTAGTGCTCTCTCTCTCTCTCTCACCCTCCACCCCCAACTCTTCCTGTCGATCCCTCCCTATGTGGTTCCAGCCTGGTGGTGGCATCAGCAGTGCACCCTTGCTGATCTCAGGGTAGCCAACCTTCTTGTTTGGTTTTTTAACTTGTCCTTCACCTGGGTTCCTGTGTTGGTTTCCTGTTGTTGCTGGAGAAAATTATCACAAACATGGCGACAGGAGAGAACACACTGACCCCTTCCACTTCTGGAGACAGAAATCAGACCCTGTTCTTCCTGGGCTACAATCAATGCATCTGCAGGGCTGCATTCCCTCTGGAGACTCGGGAGAATCAGTTCCATTGATTTCTCCAGCCCCTTCGTGGCTCGTGGTCTTCCTCCACCTTCAAAGCCCACAGTGGCTGGTGGAGTATCCCACGATGCTGCTCTAATCCCCATTCTCCTCTTCCTTCTCCACTCATATGGACCCTTGTGATTACACTGAGCCCAGTGGGAGAGTCCAGGCCATCTCCCCATCTCAAGGTCAACTCATCAACAACCTGAGCTCCATCTTCCCCTTCAGTCCCCTGCCCTATAACATAGTCACAGGCTCCAAGGATTACAATGTGGCCATCGATGGGGACAGTTATTCTTTCCAACACAGCACCCATTCCCCTGTATTCAATCCCCCTTTACCCCAAATATAGTTGGGGCCTGGATGATCGGACTCTGGTGGACACCCCCACCAGAAGCTCTGGGACTCAGGAGGTGGGACAAGGAGAAGCCCAGACAGGAGCCCTCTGACCTGTGACCATGATCACCAGGGGGTTGCTGGGTGCCGACCACTCAGTGGGGGAGTGCGGGTGAAAACCTCGACATCTGTAGGTCCCTGCGTGTGCTGGGGTCACAGGGCTAATGAGGAAACTGTTCCAGAATATTCTGTTGTAGAGCTCAGGGACAGGGACCCCATCTTTCTTGTACAGCGTGAAGATGTTAAACCCACGACGATAGTGACACCGAAGAGTCACGTGTCCTCCTTGAGGCACCACAGCGCTGGGCCAGGCAGAGCAGAAGGGCTTGTCCTGACCACCTTGGGGAGAAGGAGATGCCGCCTCAGAGAGGAGTATGTTGAGCTGCCCCTCCCTCCCTGTGCTCAGAAGATTCTCCCCATTTCTTCTTTCTAAGGCTCCTACCACACCTGGGTGCCTGGGGCTACAGGAAGGACCCATCCCGCATAGACGTGGCGTCTCCCTACAACAAAAGTGTCAGTTGAGAACTGAGCAGGTGCTGAGTAAGGGACTCTTACTAGATTTTAATACTGCAAGATTAGTTACACCAAACAACACAAAGTAGACATGGGGTGGAGGGTATGACCTTTGTGAATGGAATATTAGCTAATGCCTGAACCACAATAAACAACTGAGCTCCATCAGAGGATTTGGAATGGCAGGGTCGTGGCTGTGGTTCCCCCACCTCTTCTGGCAGAATGACAGCAGCCACACTGCAGCCCCTACCGTCATGGAAACGCTGGAGGGTGTGAGTTACCCTCTTGTCCTCAGAGGACCTGCTGTTCCTAACACTGCTACCCTTCCCTCCTCTGTCGGTGACACCACATCCCCCCACACACCCCAGCTTTGAGCACCTCAGTATCCCGCCTGGGCCACACAGAGCTCAACTCAGCCATGGGGAAGAAAGGCTGGGGAGGGCTAAGACAAAACAGAGGGCTGAGCATACCAGGATCTCCTCTTACTAGTTCATGAGAGACTCCCAGGATCTCCTCTTACTAGTTCATGAGAGACTCCCAGGATCTCCTCTTACTAGTTCATGAGAGACTCCCAGGATCTCCTCTTACTAGTTCATGAGAGACTCCCCCCAGGCCTTCCCATGGTCAGCCCATCAGCCCACCCTCTGTGCTGCCTCCCTCCCATTTCCGGAAAATTCACTTGTATTGGGGTGAAGATGGCAACCCATCATTTGGGGAAGGACTCACCCACGTGTGCCCACACACTCTGGTCCAAGAAGAACCCTGCAAAGAAAGATCATGATGAACTATTCATCTCGGCACCAACCTACCCTTTCCTCCTGAGCCACTGGGCGCCACGCTGGACTGAAAATTAACTCATCCTCACCACTCACTTGCTTCAGAACATGGCTCTCTGCTGGGGAGACACCCAATCTGCAGGCCCATAGTGTAACCCTGGTGCTCCTTCCCTTCCAGGACTCACCAAGACATGCCAGGATGATGACCGTGGGTGACATGGACATGGTGCAGCTTCTGCTGCCAGGACGCAGTGACTCGGCTCGACTGACCGGTGCAGAGGATGTGGTGAGGGGCCCGGATCGTGCAGTTGACACATTGACCACAACATGTGAAGGGGACATAGGTAGGCTTCTTCTACGTCATATGAGGTTCAAGTGGTGAGTCAGTCAAGGGAGGAATGAGGGTTTCTGAAAACTGCAGACTAGACTTGTCAGTTCACATCATGCGCAACGGCCAGGCTCAAAACACATCTCAGACTCACTTACCCCTGCACGGGACGATTGAATTCTGCACTCACATGAGGAACTTTTGATGTATTTTTTTTTGTTTCTACCTGAGATTCAAACTCTCCTTGATATGTAATATGCAAAATACCTAATAGGTTTTATTAACACTATAGAGCAATCGTATTAAATAAATCATCATAATTTTCCATGGTTGTATTTTTCCTGTTAAGCCAGAAACAGATAAAATGATTTAAATCCCAGTAGAAAAGACTATATAGTTATTTCGCATCATAGAATTCCACCTTATTAGCAAAAACACAATATGTCAATTGAAGGTCTGGTCGTGTTATCTAGAATTTGTCTTATGACACAAGAGTCCAAATTCACAGTTCCCTGTCTCCCTTTTTGTCTCTCTGTAACGTGTGCTTTTTTTCTCCCTGTGTTGTTTGTGTGTCTTTCTTTCTCTCTCTCATTTGAGGAAAAAATATCAGACTGATAACATCCTCCAACTTGATACTGGAATATTGCAATAACTGAAGGTTGAAATCTACACATTTAATGTGCTGTCATTCTTACAAATGTCTCTTATTTACACCTACCTTTCTGGAGTTTGTAAGAACTTTTTCACTATGCATTTTAAATTTGTAAAACTCATAATTTTTAAAAAGGGATGGGTCTCACTGTTTGCCCAGGGTGGCCTTTACTCATTCTATAAGGCTGGCATCACCCTGATACTAAAGACAGAAAAGAATATTAAACAAAAGAAAACTACATGCCAATATTCCTGATGAGCATAGATGCAAAAATCCACAAAAAATACTAAGAACTGAATCCCGCAGCATATCAAAAAGTGAATCCACCATGATCAAGTCAACTTTATTCTTAGGGTGCAAGGTTGGTTGAACATACACAATCAATACATGTGATTCATCACCTAAACAAAACTAAAAACAAAAACCACATGATCTTCTCAACACACATGTAGAACATACTTTTTACTAAGCATTTCTTCATGTTAAAAGCCCTCAACAAGCTAAGCATTGAAGAAACATAACTCAATATAATAAGAGCCGCCTATGACAAACCCACAACCAACATCATACTGAATGAGTAAAAGCTGGAAGAAGTTCCCTTCATAAGTGAAACAAGACAAGAATGCCCACTCTCACCATCCTATTCAACATAGTACTTGAAGTCCTAGACAGAGCCATCAGGAAAGAGAAAGAATTATAAGGCATCCAAGTAAGAAGAGAGTAGCAGAGAGAGGTAGTCAAATTACCTCTGTTTGAAGATGAGATAATTTCTATACCTAGAAACCCCATAGTCTCTGCCCAAAGGCTCCTACATCTGAGAAACAAACTTCAGCACAGTTTAAGGGCAGAAAGTCAATGTACAGGCTGGGTGTGGTGTCTCAGCCTGAAATCTAGCACTTTGGGAGGGCGAAGCGGGTGGATCACCTGAGGTCTGGAGTTCGAGACCAGCCTGGCCAACATGGCGAAACCCTGTCTCTACTAGAAACACAAATATAGCCGGACGGGGTGGTACGCAACTGTAGTCCCAGCTGCTTGGGAGGCTGAGTCAGGAGAACCGCTTGAACCTGGGAGGCAGAGGTTGCAGTGAGCGGAGATCACGCCATTGCACCTCAGCTTGGGCAACAACAGTGAAACTGCGTCTCAAAAAAAAAGCCAAAACAAATTTAATTAATGAGGAAAAGGGTATTTGTGGTGTCCATCATGATGTTTTCATATAGGTACACATTGTGGAATGGATGAAACAACCTCTTTATCTATTTATTTTTTCACATACTTGTATGTTTTGTGTGTGTGGTGAGAACATGTAAAATCTAATCTCTTAGTAATGTTCAATACACCATATGTTGCTATTAAATGGAGTCACCAAGACATACAATAGATCTCTTGAACCGATTTCTTCTAACTGAAATTTTGCATCCTTTGACCAACATCTCTTCAATCTCTCTCCTTCCCAGGTTCTTTCGACGACCATTTTACTGTTCCTCTAGGTTCCACTTCTTACACTCCACACATGAGATCATGTGGCATTTGTCTTTCTGTGCCTGGATTGTTTCCCTTAACATAATGTCCTCTAAGTTTTTTCACATTGTCACAAATGAGAGGACTTCCTTCTTTGTTGTAAAGGTTGTATAGTACTTCATTACGTTCCTATCGTATACCACGTTTTCTTTGTCCATGCACCCATAGATGGGCAGTAAGGGTGATTCCACATCTTGGCTGTTATGAATAATGCGGCTGTAAACATGGGAATGCAGATATCTCTTCAACATACTGATTCCACTTCCTTTGGATACATGCGCAGTAGTTGGATTGCAGACACATATGGGAATTCTATGTTTAATTTTTTCAGGAACTTCCAGACTGTTTTCCATAATGGTTGTGCTAATTTACATTCCCATCAACTGCATACAAATGTTCCCTTTTCTCCACATCCTCGTTAATGCTTGTTATTTTTTATGTTTTTGATAATGGTCTTTTTTTTTTTTTTTTTGAGACTCAGTCTTGCTCTGTCACCCAGGCTGGAGTGCAGTGGCACAATCTCGGTGTACTGCAACCTCTGCCTCCTGGGTTCAAGCGATTCCCCTGCCTCAGTCTCCAGAGTAGCTGGGACTACAAGTGTGCGCCACCAAACTCTGCTAATTTTTGTATTTTTAGTAGGGATGGGATTTCACCATATTGGCCAGGCTGGTTTCGAACTGCTGACCTCAGGTAATCTCCCTGCCTCGGCCTCCCAAAGTGCCTGAATTACAGGCATGAGCCACCATGCCCAGACTGTTAATGGTCATTCTAAGAGGTGTGAGGTGATATCTCATTCTAGTTTTAATTTTTATTTAGCTGATGTTTAGTAATGCTAATCATTTTTTCATATACCTTTTGGTGATTTGTCTTATTCTTAGAAATGTTTATTCAGATACTTTGCCCATTTTTTTAAGTTGGGTTATTTGATTTCTTACCATTGAGTTGTTTGAGTTTCTTATATATTTTGGATATTAATTCCTTATTAGATGTATGGGTGCAAATATATTCTCCCATTCCATAGGTTGTCTTTCCACTTGTTGAGTTTTTTTTTTTCTTTGCAGAAACTTTCAATTTGATATAATGTTATTTGTCTACTTTTGCTTTTGTTGCCTGGGCCTTTGGGTTAATATCCAAAATGGTTTTGCCCAAGCCAGTGGAGTTTTCCCTTGATTTCTTTTAGTAGTTTTTTTTTTTTTTAAGATGGAGTCTCACTCTGTTGCCCCGGCTGGAGTGCAGTGATGCGATCTCGGCTCACTGCAACCTCTACCTCCTGGGTTCAAGTGATTCTCCTGTCTCAACCTCCCGAGTAGCTGAGATTACAGGCACCCACAACCACACCCAGCTGTTTTTGTATTTTTAGTAGAGGCGGGATTTCACCATGTTGGCCATGCTGGTCTTGGAATCCTGACCTTAGGTGATCTGCCCGCCTTGGCCTCCCAAATTGCTGGGATGATAGTCTTTCACCTTACATTTAAGTCATTAATCTATCTTGAGTTGACTTTGTATGTTTTGTGAGGCAAATGTCCACTTCCATTCTTCTGCATGTCTCCCAATCCCATTTATTAAAGAGACTGTTCCTTCTCCATTGTGTGTTCTTGATACATCCCAAAAATTGTTTGACCCTAAATGCGTGCATTTTTTTTCCTGGGCTATGAATCACTTCCATTGGTCTATGTGTCTGTTTTTATGCAAGTACTGTGTTGTTTTAATTACTGTAACTTTGTAATGTAGTTTGTGTTTAGGTAATGTGATGCTTCCAACTTTGTTCCTTTCCCTCTAGATGGCTTTGGTTATTTGAGATCTTTTGTGGTTCCACATGAATTTTAGGACTGTTTTTTCTATTTCTGTAAAAAAAAATGTCATTGGATTTTTGATAATGGTTGCATTGAATCACTTTGGATAGAATGGACATTTTAACAACATTAATCCTTCTGATCCGTGAACATGGAATATCTTTCGATTTATTTGTTTATTTCTTGAGTTTTTTCATCAATGTTTTATAGCTTTTGCATACAGATCTTTCTACTCCTTGGGTGAATTTATTCCTGCATGTTTTGTTTTCTGTAGTTATTGCAAATGGGCTTATTTTCTTGTAAACTTTTTTGGATAGTTTGTTGTTAATGTATAGAAACTTTGTTGTTGTTGTTGTTGTTGTTGTTTTGATGATACCCATCCTAAGGGGTATGAAATGGCATCTGGTGTAGTTTTAGTTAGTATTTCCCTAATGATTCGTGATGCTGAATATCTTGTCATGCGTATGTTCTTTGGAGAAATGTCTGTTTCAGTACTTTGCCCATTTTTGAATTGAGTTTATTGTGATTGAGTTTTAGGAGTTGTCTGTATATTCTGGATGTTAATCCCTTACAGGTGGTGTGGTTTGAAAACATTTTCTCCCATTCTGTGGGTTGTCTTTTTACTTTGATAATATCGTCTTAAAAGTTCTTTTTCCTTGCCATGTGAAGTAACTGATGTTGTCTTTTGAGTCACAATATTTCAAAATTTTCATAAAGTCTAACTTGTTTATTTTTTCTGTAGTAGCCTGTGCCGTTGTTGTCACATCTAAAGAATCACTGCCAAATCCGATGTTGTGAAGTTTTCCTTTGTGTTTTCTTCTAAGACTTTAATTAAATTTTATTTGTCAATATTTAGGACTGACAAAAGCTTTTTAACATTCCTGGCACCATCTCAGTTATTGATCTACTCCCAAGATGGATCATTTCAATTAAAACATGTAAAGCATGACCTCACCTGAATGTGTTTGAACTTGCTCTTCTCCCTTTCAAATCGACTCCCTCACTTACATAGTTTGTGTTCAAATGTCAACAAATAAAACATAAAAAGAAATCAATCTTTTCATAGACCCTTTATCTAAAATAGAATAGTAGGTGCCATGACATTTCATCCTTTCATCTTGAATTATTTACTTTTCTACATGAACCAATCCATTCTTCTGTGTGCATGTGTGTGTGTGTGTGTGTGTAGTTTATCTGTCTACATATAATGTAAACACCAAAAAATAACAGACATTTAGTAATTTTCAAATGAGACTTCAGGAATTAACAATGGCTTGCCATTTTTAGTGTGTTATTATTATTATATTTAGATGAACAGAATTGCCTCAGGAACATGGCCAGGGGCTCATAGTCCAGGAGAACTGTGGCCTGACTCAGGTACATTTTACCTGCAATAACAGCAATTGCAGGTCACTGGAGTCCATCACAATTGGCTGGAGACAAATGTAAGACAAGAATATTTGCAGTTTCCCCAGACTGACACAGTTGCAGGTTCCCCGAAGTAATGAGTCCTGAGACACCTCCAACAAGAGCTAGAAAAGGTATCACTTCAAGAGGAGTTGCAGCCTACTCATTTTAGACAAATGGAGCAAAATTACAGTATCACATCTTTTCCTTTCTCCTTCATAGAATCTGGATGAACAGAACAGAAAGAGTTAATGGAATATAAGATTCCAATTCTCTGGCATGAGAAAATAGACAAGGAAAGGAAGATTCATCTTCATCACATCTCAGACATGCTTGGACACAGGGTCCAAGCACAAAAGAGAAACACATACTTCTTCCCATCCACACTGGGATCCAGGGTCTTCTCCCTCCTGTCAGGCCAGAACTGAGTCTCCACTCCCCAATTTAGTTCCCAGAGATGAAGCCCAATTTTCCTCTGTCTCAAGCTTTGAAGGCCAGCTTTAGCGTGTTCACCATGGATGAATGAAGGTGAGGTCAGAGGTTTGGGAAATGGTCAAGAATGAGGTGAGAAGAGAGCTGTGGAGGCATGGCCCCGGGGAGCTTGGTACCCCCCCATATCCAGAGCCTGTCTGGTCCAGGAGAGTTCCCAACCCTGTGAGCACCAACTCCGGATATTCTGGGCAGTGACCCGAGGGACAGCCTCTTATGAATACAGGCTGTTTTCCTCCAGTGTCTGCTGTGAAACCAGGATGTACAACATGGCCGTGTTCAACCCAACAATGGACTTAGGATTTTGCTGTACGCCAAAACTCAGTGTCCAACTTCCACTCTGTTTAGCTGGAAAAAGAAGGGGTTTGTTCCCATACATCTCACTCCTGTGTTCCTCTTTCAGTCTCAAAGCTCAGATGAAAACAATGAGTGTCACTTATTGTCAATCCTCTTCCCTGCCTTTTCCACACTCATCAGTATTACCGTTTACATTGAGACTAAAGATGGCCAATCACCACTTTTCTTCGGAAAAATCAACCTGATGTTGTACCTACTTTTTTAGAGGTGGAATCAACCTACCCTAAGATGCCAACTACATTTTACTGAATGGACTTTTGTGGATCCCCTCGATGTATATAGTGGCACCTTGAGGTATCATCCCTGTCTTTAGCAAATGAATATTATCCCAAGGACAATATTTCATCACAATTATTCGGGATGGACGAGTGGATATTGTGGTAGCAAGAACATTACTAAAAGTCACAGCTGATACAACACACTTGAAACCCATCTGGCCAATCTCCCACAGACAGAATGTCGCGCCATTCACTCCAGCCAGCTTCAGTCATGTTTCTTCCATTTCCACCTGTGGCCCCTCATGTCTCCACCAGGTCTTAGCCAGCATTGCCAAAAGAGCCAGGAAGACCAGACCAGCCACAACAATCCTGATGGAACTCTCCACAGTATAGTTCTGGAGAACAGGGGCTGGAGGGTGGGGGTAAGATCAGAGACCTTTCCATGTGGGCCAGGCCCCTCTCTCCCCAGAAGCTCTGAAATGGAGCTATTTCCCCATCTCACCTTCATAAAATTCTTCCTGTCCAGAACCCCTCTTCTCCCTATATCATCATGAGCACCTTCAGAAGTCTTTTGCCACAAAAAGAAATTTCTTTTGAAGATATACATTTTTTTGTACATTTCAAAAATGTTCCCAAACTAATTCTCCAAAGCAATAAATGTTTGTGTGTATTGCTGGGTAGGTTATGCATACAAGGAAAGGAAGCATAGTGAGTCTGATTTGGCAGAGGAAACATATGTGGAAATTATATCATTTACTCTCTTTACAAAATTAAGTACAAAATTGAAAACACTGGTAAGAAAGAATGAGCTATAGAGAAAGAAAACATCTGAGATGCTTGTTTCCAAGATGGCTGACTAAATGCTTTTCTGGCATGTCTCATCCACTTAGAAGAACGAGCAGAATCCAGAACAAAAACCATATGATCATCTCAATAGACATAAAGAAAAGCATCTGAAAAGAAATTCAACATCCTTACCTGATGAAAACCCTCAAAAACTTAGGCATAGAAAGAACATACCTCAAAATAATAAAAGCCATAGATGACATATCTAGAGTCAACATCATACTGAACAGGAAAAGTTAAAAGCACTCCTCTGAGAACTGGCACAAGACAAGGACACGGACATCCACCACTTCCTATCAACATAGTACTGGAAGCCTTGTCAGAGCTATTGGGCAACAGGAAGAATTAAAAATCCAAATTAGAAAAGAGGAAGTAAAATTATTTTTATTTCTGATGCTATGATCTTAAATCTAGAAAATCCTAAAGACCCTGCCAAAAATTCTTATGATTGATAAATGAACTAAGTAAAGTTTCAGAATACAAAATCAATATGTAAAAGCCGGTAGCATTTCTCTACACCTATAATGATCTAGCTGAGAACCAAATCAAGAAGGCAATGCCGTTTACAATAGATACGCAAAATTAAAACACTCAGGAATACATTTAACCAAGGTGGTGAAAGAGCTGTACCAGGAAAGGTGTAAGACACCAATGAAAGCAATTATAGATAATACAAAAAAAAAAAAAGAAAAAAAATCCCACGCTCATGGATCATAAGAATTAATATTGTTAAAATGACCATACTGCCTAAAGCAATCTACAGATTCAGTGCAATTCTTATATGAAAATAGTAACACCAGCTTTCACAGAATTAGAAAAAGCAATCCTAAAATTCATACAGAACCAAAAAAGATCCTAATAGAGAAAGCAATTCTAGGTGAATGTAGAAACCTGGAGGCATCACGCTATCTGACTTCAAACTATGCTCTAAGGCTATAGTAACTTAAATAGCACAGTGCTGGTATAGACACAGAAACAGAGATCAATAGACCAGAATAGAGAGCCCAGAAATACAGCCTCATATCTACAGTGAATAATCATTGACGACGTTAACAAAACATACACTGGAGAAAGATTTCCTTTTCAATAAAAGGTGCTGGGAAAACTAAATAGCCATATGCAGAAGAATAAAACTGGACCTGTATCTGTAATCATACACATAAATTAACTTAAGGTAATTAGCAGCTTAAATGTAAATCCAGAACTATAAAATCACCGGTGGAAACCCAAAGAGAAACTCTTCTGGGCATTGGTCTGGGCAAAGAATTCATCACTAAGACCTCAAAAGCACAGGCAATAAAAATAAAACTAGACCAATGGGACTTAATAAACGAAAGAGCTTCTGCCAAGCAAAGGAAATAGTAGCAGGGTGAACAGACAACCCACAGAATGAATGGAAATGTTTGCAAACTATGCACCCAACAGAGGACTAACATCCAGAATTTCTAGGCAACTCAAACAACTAAACATAACCCCTCAAATAATAGCATTAAAAAGTGGGCAAAGGGATATACATAGACATTTTTCAAAAGAAGACATACGAATGGCCAAACAGCGTATGAACATCACTAATCATCAGAGAAATGCAAATTGAAACCACAATGAGATATCATCTTACAGTAGTCAGAATGGCTATTACTAAAAATGCTGGTGGGGAGTGGTGGCTCACGCTTGTAATCCCAGCACTTTGGGAAGCTGAGGCGGGTGGATCATGAGGTCAGGAGTTTGAGACCAGCCTGACCAACATAGTGAAACCCCATCTCTACTAAATATACAAAAGATTAGCTGGGCATGGTGGTGTGGTTCTGTAATCCCAGCTACTCAGGAGGCTGAGGCAGGAGAATCATTTGAACCTGGTTGGTGGAGGTTGCAGCGCGTGGAGATGGCGGCACTGCACTCCAGCCTGGGTGACAGTGGAAGACTCCATCTCAAAAAGAAAAAAAGAAAAAGTGAAACATATAACAGGTGTTGGCAAGGATGCAGAGAAAAGGAAACTCTTATACACTGTTGGCCGGTATGTAAATTAGTATAGCCTCTATGGAAGACAGTATGGAAATTTGGCAGAGAACCAAAAATAGAAGCACCATTCGATCTAGGGGTCCCGCTGCTGGGTATCTACTCAAAAAATACCTGCACCTGTATGTTTATTGCAGCACTGTTTGCAATAGCAAAGATATGAAATCAATCTAAGTGTCTGTGAATGAATGATTGGATTAAAAAAAGGATGCGTGTATACACAACGAAATACTATTTGGTCATAAAAATAAAACCATGTCTTTTGCAGCAACATAGATGGAGCTGGACGCCATTATTTTACATAAAACCACTCAGAAAGACAAATACCACATCTTCTCACTCTACATGGGAGGGGAGTAATGTGTACATATGGACGTAGAGTGTGGAATGACGGACAGCGGAGGCTAGAAGGCTGGAGGGTGGCGGGACGTGGGTGAGTGATGAGAATTTGCTTAATGAGTACAATGTACGGTATTTGGGTGATGGATATAGTAAAAGTCCTGACTTCACTACTCTGCAACATACTCATGTCACAAAATTACAAGTGTACCTCATAAATTTATACTAATAGAAAAGAAAGTCTGTACACAGTAATCAATTGTGATATGTAGATAAAGTCAATATTAAATTTAAACCAGAATAACTAGTTAAAATGTTGTGTACACAACAGTGAAGAGAGTATTTATCCTCTATGACAGAGGAAACCATCAATATTAATGCACAGAAAAAGCAAATAACTGAAACAAGAAAGAGCAGTTTTGTGACAGGGTAAAAATTGACAACAGTTTTAGAATGCTCCTAACTTGAGTTCCAAAAAGAAAGAACGAGAAAACAGGTCAGAAGCAATCTTTAAAGAGGCAATTGTTGATTATTTGGAGGAAGTAGACACATCCATCAATCCACAGGTTCAAGAAATCCAGTGAATGCCAGGCAGAATGAAGTAAACACACCTCACGTTCAACATTACAGAAAAGCAGCATAAAAGCACAACCAACCCTTAAAATTAGCCAGAGGAAAAGGATCAGCTGGTAAGGATTTATAGGGAGCCAAGCATTGTCTTCCCCACAGAAAAAAGGAAAACATAAGCCAGTAGAATAGCATCTTTACCCAGCTAAGATACCGTCGCCAGCCACCGACAATTCCTTACATAGTACAGTTACTGTCCAAGATCAACGCAGGAAAGAAACAGAACTGAAAGACAAAAGGGCAAAGAAAGCTTTTCTCACTGACCCTAAAGGAAATTCTGATGACCGTGCCTCAAAGATAAAGAAAGTGAAACCAGATGGGGTGTCGAAGATTCTGACAATAACTAAGAGCAGAGGAAGAACTAAAAATATGGCTATGCCAAAAATGAATATGGACCATACGATAGTGTATGAAAACACGCCCCTGTGTAATTTCTGAAAAAGATAGAATTATGTATACCACAAAACAAAACATCATATAAGTAAATACAAACATATGTACTAAATATGCTCTAAAATCCTGTTCTTACACAGGAAGAGTGGAAATATGTTTTTATATTTGCAGTTTAATCTCTGAAATGATTAATTTCAATTTTAAAAATATGTAACAACTTCAGGATGAGTACACCATATATGTATTCCTAAACGACATAGATCAAAAATAGAATGTTTGAAATAGAAAACCACAGAAGTCAGTGGGAAAAAAAGGGAATCAGGAAAACACAACGTAATAATAACAAAAATATGATTGGAAGAACTGCTCAAACATGAACAAAAGATTGTCAGAAAGTCTTACTTTCTAAGGCGAATTGTTTGAAATTTACAAAGGACACATCTCAATGTTAACAATTCATGGAGTTTGAAATTAAACAATGTAGAAATATACCAAGCAATCACTGTTAGAAATGTGGTATAACTATATTAAAATTAGACAAAATTAGTCTTTGGGAAAAATCAGCGGAAAACATTAAGCATAAAATGTAGGAAAAAAGCAGGTAAATTTATAGCATTTTAAATTTACCAGGAATATATAATCAGTTTACACTTAACCACTCCCAGTAATATTCCTGCAAATATACATGGAGGAAGAGTCGCGGAAATAAATGGACAGGTAGGCAAATCCACGGCCACAGTGGGGTGTTTAACACTCCTCTTTTCTCAGTTGTTGATAGAAGTGGTTCAGGCAATTAGAGAGGATTTAGAAAGATAATTGCTGGACCTGACCCAAGGTATAAGTCCACTCCCAACCACAGGACTCACTTTCCTTACAAGCACAAGGGCATTTAGAAATCTCTCTGGATTCTGACCAGCCCTCACCATATGGCAGGTCCATGGACTTCTTGGAACACACCAAGCTCATTCTCACATTAGGGTCATCCCCAATGTCCTAAGTCCATGAAAGTTCCTTTCAACACACTCCCCAGGGCTCACTCCCTCTTGTCTCTAAGATCGGAGTTTAAATGTGATCTCTCTGATGAGGTCTCAGTGAGACGTTCCCTCCTGTACACTCCAAATGACAACGTTCCACGTTCATTCATTTCATTCTGTGCATGGCACTTTCACCAAGTGCTAAGGATTCACTCACTAATTCATACATTCATTCATTCATTCATTCACTCATTCCATCATTCACTCATTCATTCATTCTCTCATTCATTCATTCATGTTCTGCCTCTCTCTCCCACCCCACAGCAATGTGAGCATCATGAACCCAGGAGCTTGGCCGTGCTGTCTACTCCTGGCCATGAAACAGAGAGAACTGATGGTAGGTGTGAAATAAATATTAGATGAATGAGTTAGTGAAGGGGTCATTTACTGGGTGAGCTCAGTTCTCTCTACTCTAATGCCCTCCCTCGGCTGACTTCCCTGAGTTGCCCCCTCGGCTGAGTGAAGTCCCTTCACTGGCAAATGGAACCTCAACCAGTAGCACCTAGGTGGTCTCATACTTTGTTCTTTCCCTCTCCTCTTGCTCCCTAAGGATTATCAATCTCCATGACAGGGCTGGAGAGCAGACAAGCCACACATTCTTTCTGGGGAGAGAGTAACATGGAGTACAAGGCATTCCACATTTAGGAAGAGAACTCAGTTATGGAAGGTCAGAAATGAAAAGTTCCTACAGACCAACACCCAGGTTGGTGGCCACAGCCCTAAATGCTGATGGAGAATCACTGCAAGTCTGTAGGGAAGATGTCTGGCTTGAGGCCACTGAGCGAAGTGGCAGATCCTTCTCAGCCTTCAGTGCTGAGCCTCTGTCCCCTCAGGGATCCACTGACCAATGAGAAGAGCCTCTTCTCATCTCCTGGGATGGAGCTTGGGGCCCCTGGCGAAGGAATGGGCCTGTTTCCACCTGTCATGTTGTCATCTAGCTTGGAAATCCTGCGAGTCCCAGGGAGGCCCTCCCCGAGTCCCCAGAGAAGACTCCCCCACTGAGTCTCCAAGGTGTGGAGAGAGCAAAAAACATCTAGGGTGGAAAATGCCTCCCATCAAGAGACATTGGGGCTCCCCCAACGATGGTTGCATCTGTGCCCCCCATGTGGAAATCACTCTTTGGTGAGAGGTGGGGGCTTCTGGAAATGGGCAATGGCGGGCGGCCAATGCTACCTCTAGTCTTTCCAATCTGAGCCCGGCCTTTCATGCTCCTGAGTCAGCATTGATGCTGTTTACATGTGTCCCAGGTGGGCTTCTGTACAAAGACTGGGAAGTGGTTTATGTGGCCTGTGCTCTATCTGCAAGCTTCAGGTAGGGTTGCAGTTACCACCCCAAACCCTAATGTGATCTGTCTGCCTCGCTCTGTCTGTCTGTCTATGCCTCTTTCTGTATGTTTGCTTTGTGTCTCTTCTGTCCAGCATCTCTGGCTGACACCCCCATGGCCACCCCCTCCATCTGAGGCTCCCCTGAATGTGGCCATTGTAGTCCATCTGAGTCCCACTATTTGGGGAACAGACTGGTTTCCTCACCTGTGACAGAAACAAGCAGTGGGTCACTAAGGTCTGACCACTCGTAGGGAGAGTCACGGAAAGAGCCGAAGCATCTGTAGGTCCCTCCGTGGGTGGCAGGGCCCAGAGGAAAGTTGGCCTGGAAGGTTCCATTGACCTTGGGCACTGCAGGGAACCTAAGTTCATGAGCCTCCCCCTCCCTTGATAGATGGTAGATGTCATAGGAGCTCCGGGAGCTGCAGGACAAGGTCACGCTCTCTCCTGCCTTAACCATGGGGCGCGGCTGGGCTGAGAGAGAAGGTTTCCCACATAGACCTGGAAGGAGAAGAGGCAGTTTCCTCAGGGAGGTTCTTCCTTGTCACAACTCCCCTCCCACCTGAGCTGAGAACTCACTCCCCTGCTCTATGGCCTAATGCTCTCTCTCTCTGTCTCACCCTCCACACCATCTCTCTTTATGTCTATTTCCTCTTTCCACCTTCTCTGTCTCTCTAGGTCTCTGACCTCACTTTCTCACCTCTAGATATGTTTTCCCTTTTTGGATTGTTTTATTCTCTCTGACTCTCCTTGGACTAGTTGACTTGATGTTACTTTTTTTAAATTCTGAGTTTCTCACTTTGTGTCCTGTTCATAACTTTCTGCATATTTCTATCTATTATCTATCGATATATCTATTTATCTATTTGGTGCCTATCTACAAATTCTCTACCTGTCATCTATATCTATATATAATCTATTTATCTATCAATTGTCTATCCAAAAATCATCTATTATCTATATCTATGTATCGTCTCTCTCTCTCTATGATTTCTCTTTGTCTGCCTCTCTATCTCTATGTATTATCTATCTATCTTCATCTTCATCATCTCTATGTATCATCGATTAATCAATGAATGAATCAATCATCATCTATGTATCTATAACCTATTATCTATCATCTACCTATTTATCATCTATCTATATCTATCCATCTATCATCTGTCTTGCTCTGCCTCTCGGTCTCTCTAGTTCTCTTTGGAATCTCTGCAATTCATCCCCACATCTCCATCTTTCTATGTCCTTGTGTCTCTCCCTCAGGACTCTAATTTTAGTGCTTTTCTCTGTTCCCTTCCATTGTTCTCTCCACTTCTCTGCCCTCTTTTCTCCCTCTTTATGTGTCTGTGAGTCTCTCAATCTCCTTCCTCTGGCTCATTCTCTGTGTGTTTATGTCTTTGCTTTTTGGTGTCCCTGATTTCTCTCTGTGTCTCTCAGTGATCCTCTCATATGTGGGGTTATTTGGAATGTGAGCCTCAGAATCCAGTCTGGGGACCGCAAGTTCACACAGTATACAGGGGTTGATGTTCTGGGGCCATGATATCCTGGGACGATTACTCTCCATTGCATGGAAGGCAGAGGTGTCAGAATAAACACGGCATCTGTAGGTGCCAGAAGGCCTGAGGCCACAGGGCCCAACTCAGGCCAGAAATATGGGTGTCCTTGGGTTCTTCTGGTAGAGAACACTTTGTGGAAGTAAAACAGAAATGAAACTTCTAACCTGTGCCAGGTCTCTGAGCAAAGTCAGCATGGAAGGACACCTCTCTCTGGCACATGTCTGTCTGTGTCTCCTTTAACTCTTTCTGTCTTTTCTAACTCCCTGTATGGCCCCTGTGTCTGTCCTCTGTTATGACACCTGGTCTGTACTTGTGTCTCCTGTTTCTCTGTCTCTGTTGGTACAGACCTCACCAAGTTAGTCTCTCTCCATAAGAATACCAAGCTCATCTTCCTTATAACCACCTGGGCCTCCAAGTCGTGGATCATTCACTCTGTGTCCCAGTGACAATGAGAATAATGTCCAGACACTCTCACCTGTAATCACGATGTCCAGAGGGTCACTGGGAGCTGACAACTGATAGGGGGAATGAGGAACAGAACCGTAGCATCTGTAGGTCCCTGCAAGGTCTTGCGTCATGCGACCGATGGAGAAGTTGGCCTTGGAGACCCCATCATGGAGCTCTCCAGTGAGGCGCAAAGTGTCATTAAACTTCCCCTCTCTGTGCAGAAGGAAGTGCTCAAACATGACATCTGACCAACATTGCAGGATGACTGTCTCTTCTGATTTCACCAGGGGACCTGGGTGGGCCAGGAGGGAAGGTTTTCTGTGGACTCCTAGGAAGAGAGGTTGTGACTTTAGAAGGCATCTCTCTTTATCATCCCATCCATGGCACCTAGAATGAGTGAGGCTTCCCCTCGCTGGTGTCTTATCTCTCTCCTTCCTCTCTGTGTCTTCATGTTCTTTTCTGTGCCCATAACTCCTGGTACAGGTCCTTCCATCTGTCTCCCTCCCTCTTCTCTGTCCCTCTGTCTCTAGTAGCTCCTGATTCCCTTGCCGCTGGGCTCAGCCTCATCTCTTGGGCTGTTGTATCTATTTCGAACTAATGTCTTTCCTGCTTCTATGTGGGGGTGGAAGAGGAACCAGGATAGGCTGCACGTCCAGGCTCTTAGCAGACTGGTTCAATCTCTTTTGGACGAATTGGAATCCTTGGCAGAAGGTATGAACTGATCAGTAAGGCAGGCACCAGTGTCCACACACCCTGTTCCTGGTGGGGACTGGGAGCCACTCTTGCCATGCCTGTGCCTTCTCCATGGTGCCAGCTTCCATAGGCTGGCTTCTGGTGCTGGTTTGAGGAGTATCAACCCCTCCCTATGTGGATGGAGCCTGGTGGTGGCATCATCATCCCACCCTTGCTGATCTCGGTGTAGCCAACCTTCTCTTTGTTTGGTTTCTTTAATTAATTAATTAATTTTGGAGTCAGAGTCTCACTCCTTCACCCAGGCTGGAGTGAAGTGGTGTGGTCTAGGCTCACTGCAACCTCTGTCTCCTGGGTTCAAGTGATTCTCCTGCCCTCAGCCTCCTGAGTTGCTAGGATTACATGCACCTGCCACCACGCCCGGCTATCCTTGTGTCCTTTCTTATCTTGTCCTTGACCTGGGTTCCAGTGTTGGTTTCCTGTTGGTGCTGTGGAAAATTATCAGAAGCATGGCAGCAGGAGAGAGCACACTGACCCCTTCCGTTTCTGGAGACAGAAATCGGACCCTGTTTTTTGAGGGCTAAAATCAAGGCATCTGCAGGGCTGCGTTCCCTCTGGAGACCCAGGAGAATCAGTTCCTTGACTTTTCCAGCCTCTATAGGCCACCTGCATTCATGGCTCATGGCCTTCCTCCACCTTCAAAGCTGATGGAGACTTCCATTGCACTGCTCTAATCGCCACTCCCCTCTTCCTTCTCCTCTCATGTGCACCCTTGTGATTACACTGAGCCCAGCAGGACAGTCCAGGCTGTCTCCCCATCTCAAGGTCAACTCAACAACCTGAGCTCCATCTTCCCCTTCAGTGCCTTCCCCTATAACATAAATAGTCACAGACTGCAGGGATTAGAATGCAGTCATCATTGGGGACAATTATTCTTTCCACCACAGCACCCATTTCCCTGTATTCAATCCCCTTTTACCCCAAATACAGTTAGGGTCTGGATGATGGGACGCTGGTGGACACTCCCACCAGAAGCTCTGGGACTCAGGAGGTGGGACAAGGAGAATCCCAGACAGGAGCCCTCTGACCTGTGACCATGATCACCAGGGGGTTGCTGGGTGCTGACCACCCAGTGAGGAAGTGTGGGTGTGAACCCCGACATCTGTAGGTCCCTGCATGTGCTGGGGTCACAGGGCCTATGAAAACGGTGTTTCGGAATACTCTGTTGTAGAGCTCAGGGACAGGCATCCCGTCTTCTTTGGACAGACTGAATTCGTTAAACCCAAGACGAGAGCGACACTGAAGAGCCACATGTTCTCCTTCAGACACCACAGGGCTGGGCCAGGCAGAGAGGAAGGGCTTGTCCTGACCACCTGGGGGAGAAGGAGGCGCCACCTTAGAGAGGAGGATGTGGCACTCCCTCCCTCTATTCCTTTCCAGGACTCACCAACACACGCCATGCTGACGACCATGAGCGACATGGTGCTGCCGGTGCAGACAGGCGGCCGCGCCCCAGCTCAGCTCAGCAGCGCACAGGATGTTATTTGGCGCCCTGCCCATGCAGCTTACATGTTGACTACATCATGGGAGGGTGACGTACGCAGGCTCTTTCTACCTTGCATGAGGCCCAGTGGATGCTTGCTCAAGAGCGGAACACGGCTTCCTGGAAATTGTTCTCACTAGAATTGGCACCTCACGTCCTTCACTATGACCAACTCACAACACGTCTCAGATCCAACCTCCCGAACACAAGATGCCTAAAATCTGTGCTAACGTGAAAGACTTTTCATGTATTTTTATCCGAACACGAGATGCCTAAAATCTGTGCTAACATGAAAGACTTTTCATGTATTTTTTTTGTTTTTATCTGAGATTCAAACTCTTCTTCCTGTGTAATATGCAAAGTATCTAATAGGTATTATTAATGTTTTCGGAGTCATTGTGACTAATAAACCATTAGAATTTTTCATGCTTGTATTTCTAGTATTACAGCAGAACCAGCTAAAATGATTTAAATTCCCAGGGAAGGATTATGCAATTATTTACAATCTTAGAATTGTACTTTATCAGCAAAAACCACACCTGTAAATTCTGGAGTTTTGTAGTTTAATCTAAAATTTGTCTCATGACCCAAGATTCCAGAGTCCCAACTCTGGAGTTTGCTCTCTGTCTGTCTCTCTCCCTCCCTCGTTTTAAATTTTACAGAAATATCCAGTAACATAATGCTATAGAAAATCAAGTTTTCCCCAGCACGTTGGGAAGCCGAGGTGGGCGGATCAACTGAGATAAGGAGTTTGAGAGCAGCCTGGCCAATATAGTGAAACCGTGTCTCTGTTAAAAATCCAAAAATTAGCCGTGCCTGGTGGCAGGCACCTGTAACGCCAGCTACTCAAGAGGCTGAGGCACGAGAATCGCTTGAACCTGGGAGGCGGAGGTTGCAGTGAGCTGAGATTGTGCCACTGCAGTCCAGCCTGGGCGACAGAGCAAGACTCCGCCTCAAGAAAAAAAAAGCAAACAGCCTATAATAACAAATTAGAGGGCTCTGGCTACTAAATTTAAAGGGTTCTATAAGGCTACATAAAGTGCAGCATCATCAAGAGTGTGGACACAGAGAGCCCCTTAGCAGAAACAGTGTCTAAAATACATCCATGTACACACAGTCCCTTTAGAGTTGACAAAGGCTGCCGTGTGGTTTAAGGTGGCATAGAATGTCTTCTCAATAAATAATATTAAACCAATTGGTTACACCTAGGAAAAAATAAATCTAACTCACACTATAAAAACACTTCTTAGTTTTTATCTAGTTGTACATTTTTTATGATTTATATTTAAATTTGAGAAATAAAAGTCATATACGGTCATCCTTCACTATTCGTGGGTGATTGGTTTTGAGATCTCCACTCAGATACCAAAATCTGTAGATGCTCAAGCCTCTTATATGAAATGGCACAGCGTTTGCAAATAACCTATGCACATCCTCCTGTATACATGAAATCATCTCTAGATTACTTATAATTCCTGATACAGCCTACACACAGCTTCATTTGTGTCCATTCAACATAGTTATGCTTTTTGAAACTCTGTGGATACTTTCTCTCAATATTTTTGATTTATACTTGGTTCAATAAACACCTGTAAACCCCGCAGATATGGAGGAGTGACCGTATATTTATATTATGAAAGATGATGTGTTGATATGTGTCCCCATGGAGATGAGACTAACAAGGCCTATGATTCTACAAATGTTTCATTGTGGAATGACTCTGCCAGCTTTCCAGGTCTGCAGAGAGTAAGAGTATCACTTGTTCATATGATTCGTGATCCTTGGAACCTCCTATGTGCTACATCTTTGGATGGAAATTGGAGTCCCAGAGACAAATGAGGCTCCACCCTGCTTCCAGAAACTCAGAGTCCGGGGATGAGAACTCAGTGGGGAACAGATGGGATTATATGGACATGGTACTGATAACACCGGAAGCCTTAGGCAAGAAAAGAGTCCCATTACCGAAACCATGGGGGCAGACATGTTTATTTGAAGGATGGAAAACTACATTGAAGTTATTTTAAAAAATATATAAGTTTTACTGCTGACAGAAGACTGAAAGCTAGTCTGAGGGGAGGTGGAACAGCATGAGGGAAGGTGGAACAACACGTGTCTAAGTGCTGCGTTAAGAGGGAGCCTCTTGTATGTTTGGAATTGTGAGTTCCTCAGTGTGATTGCAGCCTCAAGTAGACTAGGAAGTAAGCCAGTTAGGTTGGAGAGGTGGGCAGGGGTCAAGTGAAATGGAGAACTGTGGGTTAAGCAAAGGGGTGTGTTTTTTCTCCAGCAGGCAGTGGGGACCTTAGACATTTGTAAGCAAGTGAGAGGCACATTCAGATTTGTGGTGTGAGGAAGATCGATGCCCTAAGATGCAGACTCACGCCTTCAGATTCCAGCTGCTGGTACATGGGAGCTGGCAACCCGGTTTTGAGACAGGGCTGTTGTCTCCCTAGAAGACGCCCTCAAGGCCTGACTGTGGTGCTCATGGGCAGGAGACAACTTTGGATCTGGACTCAGCATTTGGAAGTTCCGTGTACACGATGATATCTGTTGGGGGTGTCTTGGGCCTCTGAGAAGGGCGAGTGATTTTTCTCTGTGTGAAAACGCAGTGATTCAACTGTGTGTATGTCACCTCCTGAGGGTCTTGTTCATCAGAGTCCTGGAGAGAGGGAAATGCTGAGTGAGGGAGGGTGCTCACATTTTCCAGGACTCTTTGGGAATAACAGTAGCCACGAGCCCGGGCCGAGGAGTACCTACCTCGCTATTCGCTGTTCTGTTTCCTGCAGACTCTTGGTCCATTACCGCAGCATCTGTAGAAGATGGAAGTCAACAAAACAGCTCGGAGGGCACTTCTGGGTCCTCATTTCATAAGCAGATACCAACATACAGGGGGAGACCATAGGTGGCTGAGGTCCCTCAGTTGCCAACAGCAGACTCAGACATTCTATCTCTCTGAGCTCAAGGACCCATCCCATGAATAGCTCTGAGTTCCCATCCCATTGATTCTGTCTCCCACTTTCTGCCTGTCATGGAACCTTCTCCTGGATGTGAGTGGCTGCAGGGGACATGGGGATACAGTTCAGAATCAGGCAACGGTCTGTGAGTTGAAGGCAGGGACAGGGAGTCTGGTGCCCTCTCTAGAAAGTCCTGCCTCTGTGGCTGCTGCCTTGGGCCAGGGACCATCCTGTTTGTGAGGAACACACACCTGAGTGCTCCCATCCTGCTTCCCCACATGGCCCTGAGCTCTCTGGCCTCTGCTTCGTGAGACTTACTTTTTTTGTTGGAGCACCAGCGATGAAGGAGAAAGAAGAGGAGGATGAAGAGGATGATGACCACTGAGGTCCCAATCAGAATGTGCAGGTGTCGGGGGTTACCTGGAAGAAGATGAGACACCAATAAGAAGCTAATCTTAGCAGTTCCTCTTTATGAATTGTCTCGCATTTCTTGATTGACAGGTAACCACATAAAACACCTCTTTAGGACAAGCACCCAGATGGCAGGAGACCCAGCTTTCTCCTGCTTTTTCAGTTATAGCTCTCATAGTAACCATAGAACGTGCTGAGGATACGACTACTTTAGTTGAGATGTTTGACCCCTTCAAACCTCACATTGAAATTTCACCCCCACTGTGGGAGGTTGGGCCTCTTGAGAGGTGTTTGGGTCATGGAGGTGGATCCATCATGAACACATCAATGCTGTCCCAAGGAGACGGGGTTAGCAAGTTCCCCCTCTATTAGTTCCCGGAGAGCTGGTTGTTAAAAAGAGCTTGGAAGCTCCATCACTCCCCCTCCCCCTTGCTCCCTCTCTTGCCGTGTGATCTCTGTGGTCTCTGCACAGACAGACCCTCCTTCCCTTCTGCCAGAGTGGGAGCAGCCTGAGGCCGTCACGAGAAATAGATGCTGGTGCCATGCTTCCAGTACAGCCTGCAGAACGGTGAGGCAAACCAATCTCTTTTCTTTAGAAGTTACCGAGGCTCAAGTGTTCCTTTAGAGCAACAAAAATGGCCTAAGACAGCAACTTCCTGAGATCAGGAGGAACGTCTCAGAACACCCTGGGCTGTCTTCCTGTTCTTCCTGGAGGACGTCATGCAGTGCTTTAGCTGAGTGCTTCCTGTGGCTCCAGGGTACAAAACCCAGGCTGGGCTGCTTTCTGGCTTCCCGCAGCTACACTGCAAATGGGGTGACTCCATATGTCCCGAGGAGCTTTTCTGAGCCTTGAGGGACTGGGTCACATTGAAATATAGGTTTCTGTTGTCACTCGCTGCTTATCTGTTAGTAATGAACCTGCCTATGTAACGTATTCTCTGTGTGTTCTGTCTCCCTGGAGTGACGGTGAGTGATAGGAATTGGCATAGGCCCAGGTGCAGTCCAGGAGGTGTTTAGAGTCTTCTCTGGGAAGACTGGACTGGGATTGATTCACAGCGAATGTGCTTTAGGGTTTCTACATCCACAGCATTCTTGAATCAAACAACTTGCATTCTCCAAGGAAAGAAAACAAAAGTGAAATCAAGATAAAAAAAGCGAAATAGAATTCTCTTATGTCAAACGGCCAGGAAATAGTGTTGAAGCCCGTGTGAAACCTGCTGCTCTTTGTGATCTCGGGAGACACATATTAGGCTGCTGTTCTACCCGAGAGGCTGGGGGAAGGACCACCCCCTCGGCCATCTATTGCTTCAAAACCACCTGTCCTCCTGTGAATTAGTAGGAAAGGGGAGCAGGAGCTAGTGCTGTCGCTGATCTCTGATTCCAAGATCTGGACTCACTCCAAGGAGTGTTAATGTTTACCTCCCCATGGTCTATCTGAATCTCCACAGGTGATTGGAAGTAGGGGTGAGGTGGGGGATTTGGGTGAGTGGGCAAGTTTTTTTTGTGATGACCAGAGCACTTTCTCTATTCCAGGATCTGTGCTGGAGGATTCAGCGGGCTTTCACATTTTCTATATGATCTCATGCTCACAGAAAGCCAAATAGGGAAGAGGTTTTAGGCTCATTGCCTAATGGATAAGATAAAGGATCAAAGAAGTAATTATAGAGAAATAGAAAAACGATGATTGGAATTCAGGTGCCTTTGTCATTCGTGTGTGTTTTATTATATTTATGTATTTCTTATTTTTATTTTTTGAGATAGAGTCTCCTTGTGTCCCCCAGGCTGGAGTGCAGTGATGCAATCTCCACTCACTGCAACCTCCACCTACTGGGTTGAAGTCATTCTCCTGCTTCATCCTCCAGAATAGGAGCTGGGATTACAGGGATGCACCATCGTGCTCGGCTAATTTTTGTATTTTTAGTAGAGATAGGGTTTCACCACGTTGGCCAGGCTGGTCTGGAACTCCTGACTTCATGGAATCCACCCACCTTGGCCTCCTGCAGTGCTAGGTTACAGGCGTGAGCCACTGTTCACAGACTTGTATATTATGCTATAATAAGTCTCTTCATTTCCACCACCACTCATATATCTGTCACTCCTTTGCCAGGTATTGATTTATGTGTAGGATGAATAAATCTCAGAAAGAAATTAATTAAGCGAGGATTAAACAAGTAGGAAAATCAAACCCAGTAAGCCTTTCCAGTCAATGATTCTACCTCACAAACATATCTTATATCCATCTACTTCATTCATTTAGTGTCTAAATCAGCACCACATTTCACCAGTGGGGCGGCAATTGCCTTTTCCACGGTCTCCTAGATTCCAGTTATGCACCTGGGCCTCCCTTATTTTCATGTCAGTCATATTAATCATGTAGGGATTCCTGGTTACCCCGAGGTGAATCCAATGGCTGTGAGTGTCAAACACACACTCCTTGTTGCTCCTTAGTTTCCTGTGTACCCAGTGTGCTCTCCGTCTCTCTACAGTCGTCTTGTCATTCTCCCCACCTCATTCCCAGCATTTGAGTCAGAGCCTCTTCCTTCCACATCAGATTGTTTTCACCTTTGTGCCTTCATGGCTGACAGCTGTGTGTGCAAAATCCTTCCGCCAATCTTTCAGGGGTTCATTCCGTGTTTTTCATTAATGTCACAAATATCTGAATAGTGAGACCTTCTTTGTCACCTGAAATCATACACTCAGCATTATCTATTATT
The DNA here is from genome assembly GCF_000001405.40 of Homo sapiens. Lineage (NCBI taxonomy): Eukaryota > Metazoa > Chordata > Mammalia > Primates > Hominidae > Homo > Homo sapiens. The sequence goes on from NT_187669.1 coordinate 88,883, forward strand.
GATTTTGAATTCTGGCTGGGCACAGTGGCTCACGCCTGTAGTCCCATTACTTTGGCATGCTGAGACGGTCGGATCACTTGAGGTTGGGAGTTTCAGACAAGCTTGGCCAACGTGGTGAAACATCCTCTCTACAAAAAATATACAAAAAGAATTAGCCGGGCACGGTGGCAGTTGCCTGTAATCCCAGCTACTCGAGAGGCGGAGGCAGGAGAATCACTTGAATCCAGGAGACGCAGGTTGCAGTGAGCCAAGATCGTGACACTGCACTGTAGCCTGGAAGACAGAGGGCGACTCTGTCTCAATAAACAAAAGAACAAACAAAAAATAGATTTCATGCACAGATGCTTCCCAATGGACCATTCATTTATAGATCCACTTGTGCGTTCATTTTCTGCCCTCCCATTTAACCATCTGCAATATCAGTGTCCCAAGGGCAGAGGCCAAATGCATCTTGTTCACTGTTTGTGGAAGGCAGGAGAATGCTGTCCCACCCCAAAATGTCCCTGTCCTAGCCTCCATAGCTTGTGAATATGTTATTTTACATGGAAAGGAGGAATGAAGATTGCAGATGGAATTATGGTTGCTAATCAGCTGAACTTAAAACAAGGGTATCCTGGATGATTTCCAGGAGATTATGAGGGATTTTCATCTTGGTGAACCCAATAGAATCCCCAAGTTTTCAAAAGATGAGGAAGAAGGGAGAGCAGCACTCAGAGAAAGAGGTGTGGTAAGGAAGAAGGCACTGAGTGATGCCATGTGAGATGTGACCAGTCTTTGTGGGCTTTGAGGAAGGAGGAAGGGGACCAGGAGCCAAGGAACTGGGAGCCTTTAGAAGCTGGGACAAGTGAGAAGCAGATTCGTGCCTGGAATCCTCAGAGGGAAGGCAGCCTTGCTGTCACCTTGATTTTAGCCCAGTAAGATGCACTTCCTACTTTGAGCTACAGCACTGTAAGATAATTAAAAAACCGTTTTGTTTTCACCCACGAATCTTGTGGAAATTTGTTATGGCAACAATAGGAAAAGGTTCCACACTGCACAGCCTGAGCATGGGGCCGTGGCTGAATGAGTCAGTGAGTCGAAGTGTGCGTGCATGAGCTCTGTTCTCTGTTACGGCAAGGCTCTTTCTCTGCGGAGTCAGCCAGGGTTGCTTCATGACCTACAGGAGCTCATTCCTTGGCAAGTGGAACTTCTCTAAAACACCTTGCCCTCATCAGATGTTCCCTTCCCTTCCCTCTCTCAAGTCTCCAGGAATTTATCCTCCAGTTAGGAATGCAGGTAGAACAAACATTGCATTTTTCCTGAGAAGGATGTCAGATTGGCAATCATTCTTCTAGCTTGTAGGAGGTCTCAGCTCCATAAAATGAGAGATGAAGAGATTTCACTGAGCCCTGTGTTGGGCCCAGATCCCTTTCGCTGTAGGAGTATCTGGAGTTCGGAGATGGTGGAAGACAAGTGTACAATGTCAGAGCTGTGAGATGCTGAGTCAACGCCTGAATCCAAGGTTCCCACCTCCCCAGGGTTCCAAAAGCGGATATAAGAGGGTTCTGTACTCACCGGTTTTGGAGCTTGGTTCAGTGGGTGAAGGCCAACTATTTGAAGGGTTTCCTAGAACATGAGACAGGAGAGAGGTGAGGAAATGAGGGTGTCTGTCCTCCACTCAGTGGAAATCTTTGAGGATGGTTCATGGCCAACACTCTCTTATCTAATATTGAGCCCTGGGAGTCCTGGGATCCTTTTTTCCATAATTTTTTTATATGACACCCACTGTCTTGAGACTTCAAGATATAAAGAGAAAACAGGAGCATCACACTACCTGATCTCAAAATATGTTACAGAGCTGTAGTAAGCAAAATAGCATGACATTGGCATAAAGAAAGGCACATAGAACAACGGAGCAGAATGAATAACACAGATATATTCCATGCATTTACATCCAATGGTTTTTTATTTTTTCTTTTGAGATGGAGTCTTGCTCTGTCACTCAGGCTGGAGTGCAGAGGTGCAATCTCGGTTCACTGCAACCTCAGCCTCCTGGGTTCAATCATTCTCTTGCCTCAAATTCCTGAGTAGTGGTATTACAGGTGCTGACCACCATGCTCAGCTAATTTTTATATTTTTAGTGGAGACGATGTTTCATCACGTTGGCCAGACTAATCTTGAACTCCTGGCCTCAGGTGATCCACCCACCTCGGGCTCCCAAAGTGCTGAAATTGCAGGTGTTAGCCACCAAGCCCAGCCCATCCAATGGACTTTGACAAAGATGCCAAGAACTCACAATCAGGAAAGGACAGTCTTTTCAATAAACAGTGCAGGGAAACCTGGACATCTACATGCAGAGGAATGAAACTGCAACTCTACCTGTCACCATACACAAAAATCAAATGAAAATGGATTAAAGATGTGAGTCTAAGGCCTGAACCTATGAAACACGTAGAACAAAATATTGGGGAAATGCTCCAGGACGTTTGTCTGAAGGAAGACATTTTGTTTTAAACCTTCAAAACACAAGTAATCGAAGCAAAAATAGACCATTGGGATTACCTCAAACTAAGCAACTTCAGCACTGCTAAAAATAAACCAACAAAGTGAAGAGACAACCCACAGATTGGGAGCAAATATGTGCAAACTATGCATCTGAGATGGGATTAATAACTAGAAATATAAGAAGCTCAAACAACTCAATAAAACAAATGATTTAATTGAAAAAGGAGCAAAAGACATGAAATTTCCCCACATACGAAAAAGTGCTCAGTATCACTCATCATCAGAGAAACGCAAATTAAAATCAAAGTGAGTTTTCATCTCACCCCATTAAAATGGCTTTTAGGCCGGGTGAGGTGGCTCACTTGTGTCATCCTAGAACTTTGAGAACCTGAGGTGGGTGAATCTCATAAGGTTGGGAGTTTGAGACCAGTCTGACCCACATAGAGAAACGCTGTCTCTACTAAAAATACAAAAATTAGTAGGGCGTGGTGGCGTGTGCCTGTAATTCCAGCTACTCGGGAGGCTGAGGCAGGAGAATCGCTTGAACCTGGGAGGTGGAGGTTGTGGTGAGCCGAGATAGCGCCACTGCACTCCAGCCTGGGTGAGAAGAGCAAAACTCCATCTCAAAATAAAATGAAATAAAATAAAATGGCTTTTAGCTGCAAGACAGGCAAAAGAAATGCTGGCAAGGTGGTAGAGAAAGGAGAACCCTGGTACCCTGTTGGGAGGAGTGTAAATTAGTACAGCCATTACGGAGAAAAGTATGGAAGTCCTTTAAAGAACTAAAAAGAGGTTGGGTGAGGTGGATCATGCCTGTAATCCCGGCACTTTGGGAGACTGAGGCGGGCACCTCAGTTGAGGTCATGAGTTTGAGAGCAGCCCAGCCAACATGGGGAAACCGCATCTATACTAAAAAAACCAAAAAGTAGCCAGGCATGGTGGTGTGCACCTGTAATCCCAGCTACTAGGGAGGCTGAGGCAGGAAAATCATTTGAACCCAGGAGGCGGAGGTTGCAATGAGCCAAGGTTGCACCACTTTGACTCCAGCTTGGGCTAAGGAGGGAAACTCTTTCTCAAAAAAGAAAAAAAAAAAAAAAAGAGAACTTTCATAGTATCCAGCAATTTCACTACTGGGTTTATATCCAAAGGAAAGTAAATCAACATATCGAAGTGATATCTGCACTCGTATGATTGGTGCAGCACTGTTCACAGTAGCCAAGATGAGGAGTCAACCTACCTGCCCATCAGTGGGTGAATGGATAGAGAGAATGTAGTACATACGCACAGTGGAGACTACTCATCCATAGAAAGAATAACATCCTGTCATTTGCAGCCACATGGATGGAACTGGAGGTCATTAAAAAGATTCCCATTTCTCACCCATATACAGGAGCTAAAAGGTGGATCTCATGAAGGTAGAGAGTAGAATGGTGGCTACTGGAGGACAGGAAGAAAAGGGTGGAGGGTAAAAAAAATGTATATATATATATATATAAAAATGTATTTATGACCACTAGACTTTACACTTAAAAATGGTAAATGTGGCTGGGCCTGGTGGCCCATGCCTGTAATCCCAGCACTTTGGGAGGCTGATGCGGGTGGATCACGTGGTCAGGAGTTCGAGACCAGCTCGACCAACATGGTGAAACCACCTCTCTACTAAAAATACAAAAAGTAGCCTGGCGTGGTGGTGCGTGCCTGTAGCACTAGCTACTCAGGTGGCTGAGGCAGGAGAATCGCTTGAACCCAGGAGGCGGAGGTTGCAGTGAGCTGAGATTGTGCCACTGCACTCCATCATAGGGGACAGAGCTAGACTCCACCTCAAAAAAAAATGTTAAAAGTGGTAAGCTATATAGGTATATTTATCCTCAATAAATATTTCTTCAAAGAAAAGTAAAGGGTGTAGGGGTTGCTGGTGATGACATCTCTGTGTGGGTGAGAGGCCAGGATGGGCTTCTGGGAAATGGGTAAGGTTGAGGGGCTGAGGGAACCTCTGATCTCCCCAAACTGAGCCCAGTCTCCCTCCTCTGGGTCTCTCCTGACCGCTTTCTCCATCTGCCTGGGTGCCTGGAGCCCTGGCCGTGGGCCTCCATGCAGGCCATGTAGGAGGGTTTGGAGGTGCCCTGTCGGCCATCCTGTGCCCTGATCCCTCCCTCACACCGAGGCTGCGTCTTCTCTCTGCATCTGTCCATGCTTCTCTCCATCCTCAGCAGGAAGCTCCTCAGCTAAGGCTCTAGGATCATAGGACATGGGACAGCCATGGGCTTTCCTCACCTGTGACAGAAACAAGCAGTGGGTCACTTGACTTTGACCACTCGTATGGAGAGTCATGGAAAGAGCCGAAGCATCTGTAGGTCCCTCCGTGGGTGGCAGGGCCCAGAGGAAAGTCAGCCTGGAATGTTCCGTTGACCTTGGGCCCTGCAGGGAGCCTACGTTCATGGGCCTCCCCTTCCCTGGATAGATGGTACATGTCATAGGAGCTCCGGGAGCTGCAGGACAAGGTCACATTCTCTCCTGCCAGAACCGTGGGGCCCAGCTGGGCTGAGAGAGAAGGTTTCTCATATAGACCTGGAAGGAGAAGAGGCAGTTTCCTCAGGGAGGATCTTCTTTGTCACAGCTCCCTTCACCTGAGCTGAGAACTCACTCCCCTGTTCTATGACCTAATGCTCTCTCTCTCTCTCTCTCACCCTCTACCCCATCGCTCTTCATGTCTATTTCCTCCTTCCACCTTCTCTGTCTCTCTAGGTCTCTGACCTCACTTCCCCACCTCTAGATATGTTTTCTCTTTTTGGATTGTTTTATTCTCTCTGACTCTCCTTGGATTGGTTGACTTGATGTTACTTTTTTTAATTCTGAGTTTCTCACTTTGTGTCCTGTTCATAACTTTCTGCATATTTCTATCTATTATCTATCGATCTATCTATTTATCTATTCGGTGCCTATCTACAAATTCTCTACCTGTCATCTATATCTATATATCATCTATTTATCCATCAATTGTCTATCTATCCATCAATCATCTATTATCTATATCTATGTATCATCTCTCTCTCTCTATGATTTCTCTATGTCTGCCTCTGTATCTCTATGTATTATCTATCTATCTGTCTTCATCATCATCATCTCTATGTCTCATCTATTAATGAATCAATCAATCATCATCTATGTATCTATAACCTATTATCTATCATCTACCTATTTATCATCTATCTATATCTATCCATCTATCATCTGTCTTGCTCTGCCTCTCGGTCTCTCTAGTTCTCTTTGGAATCTCTGCAATTCATCCCCACATCTCCATCTTTCAATGTCCTTGTGCCTCTCCCTCAGGAGTCTAATTTTAGTGCTTTTCTCTGCTCCCTTCCATCATTCTCACCACTCCTCTGCCCTCTTTTCTCTCTCTTTATGTGTCTGTGAGTCTCTCAATCTCCTTCCTCTGGCTCATTCTCTGTGTGTTTATGTCTTTGCTTTTTGGTGTCCCTGATTTCTCTCTGTGCCTCTCACTGATCCTCTCATAAGTGGGCTTATTTGGAATATGAGCCTCAGAATCCAGTCTGGAGACTACAAGTTCACACAGCATACAGGGGTTGGTGTTGTGGGGCCATGATATCCTGGGACGATTACTCTCCATTACATGGAAGGCAGAGGTGTCAGAATAAACATGGCATCTGTAGGTGCCACAAGGCCTGAGGCCACAGGGCCCAACTCAGGTCAGAAATATGGGTGTCCTTGGGTTCTCCTGGTAGAGAACACTTTGTGGAGGTAAAACAGAAATGAAACTTCTAACCTGTGCCAGGTCTCTGAGCAAAGTCAGCATGGAGGGACACCTCTCTCTGGGACATGTCTGTCTGTGTGTCTCCTTTAACTCTTTCTGTCTTTTCTAACTCCCGGTATGGCCCCTGTGTCTGTTCTCTGTTATGACACCTGGTCTCTACTTGTGTCTCCTGTTTCTCTGTCTCTGTTGGCACAGACCTCACCAAGTCAGTCTCTCTCCATAAGAATACCAAGCTCATCTTCCTTACAGCCACCTGGGTCTCCAATTCCTGGATCATTCACTCTGCATCCCAATGACAATGAGAAGAAAGTCTGGACACTCTCACCTATGATCACGATGTCCAGAGGGTCACTGGGAGCTGACACCTGATAGGGGGAGTGAGTAACAGAACCGTAGCATCTGTAGGTCCCTGCCAGGTCTTGCGTCATGCGACTGATGGAGAAGTTGGCCTTGGAGACCCCATCATGGTGTTCTCCAATGAGGCGCAAAGTGTCGTTAAACATCCCCTCTCTGTGCAGAAGGAAGTGTTCAAACATGACATCTGACCAACACTGCAGGATGACTGTCTCTTCTGATTTCACCAGGCGACCTGGGTGGGCCAGGAGGGAAGGTTTTCTGTGGACTCCTAGGAAGAGAGGTTGTGAGTTTAGAAGGTGTCTCTCTTTATCATCCCATCCATGGCACCTGGATTGAGTCAGGCTTCCCCTTCCTGGTGTCTTATCTCTCTCCTTCCTCTCTGTGTCTTCATGTTCTTTTCTGTGCCCATAACTCCTGGTGCAGGTCCTTCCATCTGTCTCCCTCACTCTTCTCTGTCCCTCTGTCTCTAGTAGCCTCTGATTCCCTTGCCGCTGGGCTCAGCCTCATCTCTTGGGCTGTTGTATCTATTTCGAACTAATGTCTTTCCTGCTGTCTATGTGGGGGTGGAAGAGGAACCAGGATAGGCTGCACATCCAGGCTCTTAGCAGCCTGGTTCAATCTCTTTTGGACGAATTGGAATCCTTGGCAGGAGGTATGAACTGATCAGTAAGGCAGGCACCAGTGGCCACACACCCTGTTCCTGGTAGGGACTGGGAGCCACTCTTGCCATGCCAGTGCCAGCTTCCATAGGCTGGCTCCTGGTGCTGGTTGGAGGAGTATCAACCCCTCCCTATGTGGATGGAGCCTGGTGGTGGCATCATCATCTGAGCCTTGCTGATCTCAGTGTAGCCAACCTTCTCCTTGTTTGGTTTCTTTAATTAATTAATTAATTTTGGCGACAGAGTCTCACTCCTTTGCCCAGGCTGGAGTGAAGTGGTGTGGTCTAGGCTCACTGCAACCTCTGTCTCCTGGGTTCAAGTGATTCTCCTGCCCTCAGCCTCCCAAGTCGCTAGGATTACATGCACCTGCCACCATGCCTGGCTATCCTTGTGTTGTTTCTTAACTTGTCCTTGACCTGGGTTCCAGTGTTGGTTTCCTGTTGCTGCTGTAGAAAATTATCAGAAGCATGGCACCAGGAGAGAGCACACTAACCCCTTCCAATTCTGGAGACAGAAATCGGACCCTGTTTGTCGTGGGTAAAATCAAGGCACCTGCAGGGCTTCGTTCCCTCTGGAGACTCAGGAGAATCAGTTCCTTGACTTTTCCAGCCTCTATAGGCCACCTGCATTCATGGCTCCTGGACTTCCTCCACCTTCAAAGCTGATGGAGACTCCCATTATGCTGCTGTAATCCCCACTCCCCTCTTCCTCCTCCTTTCATGTGGACCCCTGTGACTACACTGAGCCCATCAGGACAGTCCAGGCTGTCTCCCCATCTCAAGGTCAACTCATCAACAACCTGAGCTCCATCTTCTCCTTCAGTCCCTTCCCCTATATCATAAATAGTCACAGACTCCAGGGATTAGAATGTAGTCATCACTGGGGACAATTATTCTTCCCACCACAGCACCCATTTCCCTGTATTCAATCCCCCTTTACCCCAAATACAGTCAGGACTTGCATGATGGGACCCGCAAGGACACGCCCACCAGGAGCTCTGGGATTCAGGAGGTGGGACAAGGAGAATCCCAGACAGGAGCCCTCTGACCTGTGACCGTGATCTCCAGGGGGTTGCTGGGTGCCGACCACCCACTGGGGTAGTGTGGTTGTGAACCCCGACATGTATAGGTCCCTGCGTGTGCTGGGGTCACAGGGCCCATGAAAAGGCTGTTCCAGAATATTATGTTGTAGAGCTCAGGGACAGGCACCCCATCTTCCTTTTACAGACTGAAGTTGTTAAACCCAAGATAAGAATGACACTGAAGAATCACATGTCCTGGAGGCACCACAGGGCTTGGCCAGGCAGACAGCAAGGGCTTGTCCTGACCACCGTGGGGAGAAGGAGGCACCGCCTTAGAGAGGAGGATGTGGAGCCGCCCCTCCCTCCCTGTGCTCTGAAGATTCTCCTCGCTTTCCAAGTTTCTATGGCTGCTATCACACCTTGGTGCCCAGGGCTAAAGGAAGGACCCATCCCGCAAACACAAGGTGTCTCCCTACAACAAAAGTGTCAGCTGAGAACTTTGAGCAAGTGCTGAGTAAGAGACTCCTACTAGATTTTAATACTGTAAGATTACTCACATAAAACAACACAGGGTAGACATGGGGTGGAGGGCATGTCCTTTGAGAATGGAATATCAGCCGATGCCTGAACGAAAATAAACAACTGAGTCCCCATCAGAGGATTGGAATGTCAGGGCCATGGCTGTGGTTTTCCCACCTCTTCTGGTAGAATGACAGCAGCCACACTGCAGCCCCTACCGTCATGGAAACGCTGAAGTGTGTGAGTAACACCTTTGTCCTCAGAGGATCTGCTGTTCCTACCACTTCCCCACCACACACCCCAGCTTTGAGCACCGTAGTCTAACCCTGGTCCCCACAGAACTTGACTCTGCCAAGGGAATGAAAGGCCAGGGAGGCAAGGTCAGAAATGTGGGCCCAGCACCCCAGGGTCCCTTCTTCCTAGTTTATGAGAGACTCCCTGACAGGACTTCCCTCCCATTTCAGGAAAATCCTCTTATGTGGGGAGATGACACCCGAAGGTTGGGAGAAGGACTCACCCTCATGTGGCCAGGCCCCCTGCAGCAAGAAGAACCCTGGAAAGAAAGATCATGATGGATGACCCATCTGCAGGCAAACCAGGGCACCCTTGCTGCCCCCACTGGGCTGTGAGTCTTGGTAGCCAGGCCCTTCCTGGGCTGAAGGTAAACTCACCCTCAGTGCCTACCTGCACCCAAGAACAGGGCTGTCGGCTGTGCAGAGACCCAGCCTCCAGGTCCATATCCCCACCTCAAGCCCATATCTCCACTCCAGGCCCATATCTCCACTCCAGGCCGATATTTCCACCCTAAGCCCATATCGCCAATCCAGGCCCATATCTCCAATCCAGGCTCAGATCTCCACCCTGGGCCCATATCTCCAATCCAGGCCCTTATCTCCACTCCAGGTCCATATCTCCTCTCCAGTCCCATATCTCCACTCCAGGCCCATATATCCTCTCCAGTCCCATATCTCCACACCCAGGCCCGTATCTCCATCCTAGGCACATATCTCCTCTCCAGGCCCAGATATCGACCTCTAGGCCCATATCTCCACTCCTGGCCCATATCTCCACTCCAGGCCCAGATATCGACCTCTAGGCCCATATCTCCACTCCTGGCCCATATCTCCACTCCAGGCCCATGTCTCCACTTCAGGCCCATATCTCTACTGCAGGCCCATAACTCCACCTCCAGGCCCATGACTCCACTCCAGGCCCATATCTCCACCTCCAGGCCCATATCTCCCCTCCAGGTTCCTATCTCCCCTCCAGGTTCCTATCTCCACTCCAGGCCCAGATCTCCACTACAGTCCCATCACTCCACCTCCAGGCCTATATCTCGACCTCTGGGCCCAGATCTCCACTTCTAGGCCCATCACTCCATCTCTAGGCCCATATATCCACTCCAGGCCCAGATCTCCACTCCAGGCCCATAACTCCACCTCCAGGCCTATATCTCCACCTCTGGGCCCAGATCTCCATCCCCTCACTCCCTCCCTCTATTGCTTTCCAGGACTCACCAACACACGCCATGCTGACGACCAAGAGCGACATGGTGCTGCCGGAGCAGACAGGCAGCCGCGACCGAGCTCAGCTCAGCAGCGCACAGGATGTTATTTGGCGCCCTGCCCATGCAGTTTACATGTTGACCACATCATGGGAGGGTGACGTACGCAGGCTCTTTCTACCTTGCATGAGGCCCAGTGGGTGCTCGCTCAAGAGCGGAACACGGCTTCCTGGAAATTGTTCTCGCTAGAATTTGACACCTAGTGTCCTTCACTATGACCAACTCAAAACACGTCTGAGATCCAACCTCCCGAACACGAGATGCCTAAAATCTGTGCTAACATGAAAGACTTTTCATGTATTTCTATTGTTTTTATCTGAGATTCAAACTCTTCTTCCTGTGTAATATGCAAAATATCTAATAGGTATTATTAATGTTTTCAGAGTCATTGTCACTAATAAACCATTAGAATTTTTCATGCTTGTATTTCTAGTATTACAGCAGAACCAGTTAAAATGATTTAAATTCCCAGGGAAGGATTATGCAATTATTTACAATCTTAGAATTGTACTTTATCAGTAAAAACCCCACCTGTAAATTCTGGAGTTTTGTAGTTTAATCTAAAATTTGTCTCATGACCCAAGATTCCAGAGTCCCAACTCTGGAGTTTGTTTTCCGTCTGTCTCTCTCCCTCCCTCATTTTAAATTTTACAGAAATATCCAGTAACATAATGCTATAGAAAATCAAGTTTCCCCAGCACGTTGGGAAGCCGAGGTGGGCGGATCAACTGAGATAAGGAGTTTGAGAGCAGCCTGGCCAATATAGTGAAACCGTGTCTCTGCTAAAAATCCAAAAATTAGCCGTGCCTGGTGGCAGGCACCTGTAACGCCAGCTACTCAAGAGGCTGAGGCATGAGAATCGCTTGAACCTGGGAGGCAGAAGTTGCAGTGAGCTGAGATTGTGTCACTGCAGTCCAGCCTGGGCGACAGAGCAAGACTCCGCCTCAAGAAAAAAAAGCAAATAGCCTATAATAACAAATTAGAGAGCTCTGGCTACTAAATTTAAAGGGTTCTATAAGGCTACATAAAGTGCAGCATCATCAAGAGTGTGGACACAGAGAGCCCCTTAGCAGAAACAGTGTCTAAAGTACATCCGTGTACACACAGTCCCTTTAGAGTTGACAAAGGCTGCCGTGTGGTTTAAGGTGGCATAGAATGTCTTCTCAATAAATAATATTAAACCAATGGGTTATACCTAGGAAAAAATAAATCTAACTCACACTATAAAAACACTTCTTAGTTTTTATCTAGTTGTACATTTTTTATGATTTATATTTAAATTTGAGAAATAAAAGTCATATACGGTCATCCTTCACTATTCGTGGGTGATTGGTTTCGAGATCTCCACTCAGATACCAAAATCTGTAGATGCTCAAGCCTCTTATATGAAATGGCACAGAGTTTGCAAATAACCTATGCACATCCTCCTGTATACATGAAATCATCTCTAGATTACTTATAATTCCTGATGCAGCCTACACACAGCTTCATTTGTGTCCATTCAACACAGTTCTGCTTTTTGTAACTCTGTGGATACTTTCTCTGAATATTTTTGATTTATACTCGGTTCAATAAAGAACTGTAAACCCCACAGATATGGAGGAGTGACTGTATATTTATAGTGTGAAAGATGATGTGTTGATATGTGTCCCTGTGTAGATGAGACTAACAAGGCCTATGATTCTACAAATGTTTCATCTTGGAATGACTCTGCCAGATTTCCAGGTCTGCAGAGAGTAAGAATATCACTTGTTCATGTGATTCACGATCCTTGGAACCTCCTATGTGCTACATCTTTGGATGGAAATAGGAGTCCCAGAGACAAATGAGGCTCCACCCTGCTTCCAGAAACTCAGAGTCCGGGGGTGAGAACCCAGTGGAGAACAGATGGGGTTATGTGGACATGGTAATGATAATGGAAGTCTTAGGCAAGAAAAGAGTCCCATTACCGAAACCATGAGGGCAGACATGTTTATTTGAAGGAGGGAAAACTACATTGAAATTATTTTAAAAAATATATAAGTTTTACTGCTGACAGAAGGCTGAAAGATACTCTGAGGGGAGGTGGAACAGCATGAGGGAAGGTGGAACAGGACGTGTCTAAGTGCCGTGTTAAGAGGGAGCCTCTTGTATGTTTGGAACTGTGAGTTCCTCAGTGTGATTGCAGCCTCAAGTAGACTAGGAAGTAAGCCAGTAAGGTTGGAGAGGTGGGCAGGGGTCAAGTGAAATGGAGAATTGTGGGCTAAGCAAAGGAGTGTGTTTTCTCTCCAGCAGGCAGTGGGGACCTTAGACATTTGTAAGCAAGAGAGAGGCACATTCAGATTTGTGGTGTGAGGAAGAGCGATGCCCTAAGATGCAGACTCACGCCTTCAGATTCCAGCTGCTGGTACATGGGAGCTGGCAACCCGGTTTTGAGACAGGGCTGTTGTCTCCCTAGAAGATCCCCTCAAGGCCTGACTGTGGTGCTCATGGGCAGGAGACAACTTTGGATCTGGACTCAGCATTTGGAAGTTCCGTGTACACTCTGGTATCTGTTGGGGGTGTCTTGGGCCTCTGAGAAGGGCGAGTGATTTTTCTCTGTGTGAAAACGCAGTGATCCAACTGTACGTATGTCACCTCCTGAGGGTCTTGTTCATCAGAGTCCTGGAGAGAGGGAAATCCTGAGTGAGGGAGGGTGCTCACGTTTTCCAGGACTGTTTGGGAATAACACTAGCCACGAGGCTGGGCCGAGGAGCACCTACCTCGCTATTCGCTGTTCTGTTCCCTGCAGGCTCTTGGTCCATTACAGCAGCATGTGTAGGAGACGGAAGTCAACAAAAGAGCTCGGAGGGCACTTCTGGGTCCTCATTTCATAAGCAGATACCAACAAACAGGGGGAGGCCATAGGTGCCTGAGGTCCCTCAGTTGCCAACAGCAGACTCAGACATTCTATCTCTCTGAGCTCAAGGACCCATCCCATGAATAGCTCTGAGTTCCCATCCCATTGATTCTGTCTCCCACTTTCTGCCTGTCATGGAACCTTCTCCTGGATGTGAGTGGCTGCAGGGGACATGAGGATACAGTTCAGAATCAGGCAACGGTCTGTGAGCTGAAAGCAGGGACAGGGAGTCTGGTGCCCTCTCTAGAAAGTCCTGCCTCTGTGGCTGCTGCCTTGGGCCAGGGACCATCCTACCTGTGAGGAACACACACCTGAGTGCTCCCATCCTGCTTCCCCACATGGCCCTGAGCTCTCTGGCCTCTCCTTCGTGAGACTTACTTTTCTTGTTGGAGCACCAGCGATGAAGGAGAAAGAAGAGGAGGAGGATGAAGAGGATGATGACCACTGAGGTCCCAATCAGAACGTGCAGGTGTCTTGGGTTACCTGGAAGAAGATGAGACACCAATAAGAAGCTAATCATAGCAGTTCCTCTTTATGAATTGTCTCGCATTTCTTGATTGACAGGTAACCACGTAAAACACCTCTTTAGGACAAGCACCCAGATGGCGGGAGACCCAGCTTTCTCCTGCTTTCTCAGTTATAGCTCTCAAAGTAACCATAGAATGTGCTGAGGACACAACTACTTTAGTTGAGATGTTTGACCCCTTCAAACCTCACATTGAAATTTCACCCCCATTGTGGGAGGTTGGGCCTCTTGAGAGGTGTTTGGGTCATGGAGGTGGATCCATCATGAACAGATCAATGCTGTCCCAAGGAGACGGGGTTAGCTAGTTCCCCCTCTATTAGTTCCTGGAGAGCTGGTTGTTCAAAAGAACTTGGAAGCTCCATCGCTCCCCCTCCCCCTTGCTCCCTCTCTTGCCGTGTGATCTCTGTGGTCTCTGCACAGACAGACCCTCCTTCCCTTCTGCCAGAGTGGGAGCAGCCTGAGGCCATCACGAGAAATAGATGCTGGTGCCATGCTTCCAGTACAGCCTGCAGAACGGTGAGGCAAACCAATCTCTTTTCTTTAGAAGTTGCCCAGGCTCAAGTGTTCCTTTAGAGCAACAAAAATGGACTAAGACAGCAACGTCCTGAGATCAGGAGGAACGTCCCAGAGCAGCCTGGGCTGTCTTCCTGTTCTTCCTGGAGGAGGACGTCATGCAGTGCTTTAGCTGAGTGCTTCCTGTGGCTCCAGGGTACAAAACCCAGGCTGGGCTGCTTTCTGGCTTCCCCCAGCTACACTGCAAATGGGGTGACTCCATATGTCCCGAGCAGCTTTTCTGAGCCTTGAGGGACTGGCTCACATTGAAATGTAGGCTTCTGTTTTCACTCGCTGCTTATCTGTTAGTAATGAACCTGCCTATGTAACGTATTCTCTGTGTGTTCTGTCTCCCTGGAGTGACGGTGAGTGATAGGAATTGGCGTAGGCCCAGGTGCAGTCTAGGAGGTGTTTAGGGTCTTTTCTGGGAAGACTGCACTGGGATTGACACACAGCGAATGTGCTTTAGGATTTCTACATCCACAGCATTCTTGAGTCAAACAACTTGCGTTCTCCAAGGAAAGGAAACAAAAGTGAAATCAAGATAAAAAAGCGAAATAGAGTTATCTTATGTCCAACAGCCAGGAAATCGTGTTGAAGCCCCTGTGAAACGTCCTACTCTTTGTGATCTCGGGAGACACATGTTAGGCTGCTGTTCTACCTGAGAGGCTGGGGGAAGGACCACCCCCTCCACCATCTATTGCTTCAATACCACCTGTCCTCCTGTGAATTAGTAGGAAAGGGGAGCAGGAGCTAGTGCTGGTGCTGATCTCTCATTCCAAGATCTGGACTCACTCCAAGGAGTATTAATGTTTACCTCCCCATGGTCTATCTGAATCTCCACAGGTGATTGGAAGTAGGGGTGAAGTGGGGGATTTGAGTGAGAGGGCAAGTTTTTTTTGTGATGAACAGAGCACTTTCTCTATTCCACGATCTGTGCTGGAGGATTCAGCGGGCTTTCACATTTTCTATATGGTCTCATGCTCACAGAAAGCCAAATACGGAAGAGGTTTTAGGCTCATTGCCTAATGGATAAGACAAAGGATCAAAGAAGTAATTATAGAGAAATACAAAAATGATGATTGGAATTCAGGTGCCTTTGTCATTCGTGTGTGTTTTATTATATTTATGCATTTCTTATTTTTATTTTTTGAGACGGAGTCTCCTTGTGTCACCCAGGCTGGAGTGCAGTGATGCAATCTCCACTCACTGCAACCTCCACCTCCTGGGTTGAAGTCGTTCTCCTGCTTCATCCTCAAGAGTAGGAGCTGGGATTACAGGGATGCACCACCATGCTCGGCTAATTTTTGTATTTTTCATAGAGACAGGGTTTCACCATTTTGGCCAGGCTGGTCTGGAACTCCTGACTTCAAGTGATCCACCCGCCTTGGCCTCCTGCAGTGCTGGGAATTGCCTTTTCCACGGCCTGAGCATGGGGCCGTGGCTGAATGAGTCAGTGAGTCGAAGTGTGCGTGCATGAGCTCCGTTCTCTGTTAAGGCAAAGCTCTTGCTCTGCTGAGTCAGCCAGGGTTGCTTCATGACCAACAGTAATTCATTCCTGGGCAAGTGGAACTTCTCTAAAACACCTCGCCCTCATCAAATGTTCCCTACCCTTCCCTCTCTCAAGCCCCCAGGAATTTATCCTCCAGTTAGGAATGCAGGCAGAACAAACATTGCATTTTTCCTGAGAAGGATGTCAGATTGCCAATCATTTTTCTAGCTTGTAGGAGATCTCAGCTCCATAAAATGAGAGATTAAGAGATTTCACAGAGCCCTGTTTTGGGTCCAGATCCCTTTCGCTGTTGGAGTATCTGGAGTTTGGAGATGGTAGAAGACAGGCGTACAATGTCAGAGCTGTGAGATGCTGAGTCAACGCCTGAATCCAAGGTTTCCACCTCCCCAGGTTTCCAAAAGCGGATATAAGAGGGTTCTGTACTCACCGGTTTTGGAGCTTGGTTCAGTGGGTGAAGGCCAACTATTTGAAGGGTTTCCTAGAACATGAGACAGGAGAGAGGTGAGGAAATGAGGGTGTCTGTCCTCTACTCAGTGGAAATCTTTGAGGTTGGTTCATGGCCAACACTCTGTTATCTAATATTGGGCCCTGGGAGTCCTGGGATCCTTTTTTCCGTAATTTTTGTATGTGACGGCTACTGTCTTGAGACTTCAAGGTATAAAGAGAAAACAGGAGCATCACACTACCTGATCTCAAAATATGTTACAGAGCTGTAGTAAGCAAGACAGCATGACGTTGGCATGAAGAAAGGCACATAGAACAACGGAGCAGAATGAATAACACAGATATAATCCATGCATTTACCTCCAATGTATTTTTTGTTTTTCTTTTGAGATGGAGTCTTGCTCTGTCACCCAGGCTGGAGTGCAGAGGTGCAATCTCGGTTCACTGCCACCACAGCCTCCTGGGTTCAATCACTTCTCTTGCCTCAAACTCCTGAGTAGTGGTATTACAGGTGCTGACCACCATGCTCAGCTAATTTTTATATTTTTAGTGGAGACGATGTTTCATCACGTTGGCCAGACTAATCTTGAACTCTTGGCCTCAGGTGATCCACCCACCTCGGGCTCCCAAAGTGCTGAAATTGCAGGTGTCAGCCACCATGCCCAGCCCATCCAATGGACTTTGACAAAGGTGCCAAGAACTCACAATCAGGAAAGGACAGTCTTTTCAATAAACAGTGCAGGGAAACCTGGACATCGACATGCAGAGGAATGAAACTGCACCTCTGCCTGTCACTATACACAAAAATCAAATGAAAATGGATTAAAGATGTGAGTCTAAGGCCTGAACCTATGAAACACGTAGAAGAAAATATTGGGGAAATGCTCCAGGACGTTTGTCTGAAGGAAGACATTTTGTTTTAAACCTTCAAAACACAAGTAATCGAAGCAAAAATAGACCATTGGGATTACCTCAAACTAAGCAACTTCTGCACCGCTAAAAATAAACCAACAAAGTGAAGAGACAACCCACAGATTGGGAGCAAATATGTGCAAACTATGCATCTGAGATGGGATTAATAACTAGAAATATAAGAAGCTCAAACAACTCAATAAAACAAATGATTTAATTGAAACAGGAGCAAAAGACATGAAATTTCCCCACATACGAAAAAGTGCTCAGTATCACTCATCATCAGAGAAACACAAATTAAAATCAAAGTGAGTTTTCATCTCACCCCATTAAAATGGCTTTTAGGCCGGGCGTGGTGGCTCACGTCTGTCATCCTAGAACTTTGAGAGCCTGAGGTGGGTGAATCTCATAAGGTCGGGAGTTTGAGACCAGTCTGACCCACATGGAGAAACACTGTCTCTACTAAAAATACAAAAATTAGTCGGGCGTGGTGGCGTGTGCCTGTAATTCCAGCTACTCGGGAGGCTGAGGCAGGAGAATCGCTTGAACCTGGGAGGTGGAGGTTGTGGTGAGCCGAGATCGCACCACTGCACTCAGCCTGGGTGACAAGAGCGAAACTCCATCTCAAAATAAAATGAAATAAAATAAAATGGCTTTTAGCTGCAAGACAGGCAAAAGAAATGCTGGCAAGGTGTTAGAGAAAGGAGAATCCTGGTATCCTGTTGGTAGGAGTGTAAATTAGTACAGCCATTACGGAGAAAAGTGTGGAAGTCCTTTAAAGAACTAAAAAGAGGTTGGGTGAGGTGGATCATGCCTGTAATCCCGGCACTTTGGGAGACCGAGGCGGGCACCTCAGTTGAGGTCATGAGTTTGAGAGCAGCCCAGCCAACATGGGGAAACCGCATCTATACTAAAAAAAACAAAAAGTAGCCAGGCATGGTGGCGTGCGCCTATAATCCCTGATACTAGGGAGGCTGAGGCAGGAAAATCATTTGAACCCAGGAGGCAGAGGTTGCAATGAGCCAAGATGACATCACTTGTACTCCAGCCTGGGCACAGAGGGAAACTGTCTCAAAAACAAAAACAAAACAACAAACGAAAAACTAAAAAGAGAACTTTCATAGTATCCAGCAATTTCACTACTGGGTTTATATCCAAAGGAAAGTAAATCAATATATCGAAGTGATATCTGCACTCGTATGATTGGTGCAGCACTCTTCACAGTAGCCAAGATGAGGAGTCAACCTACCTGCCCATCAGTGGGTGAATGGATAGAGAGAATGTGGTACATTTGCATAGTGGAGACTACTCTTCCATAGAAAGAAAAACATCCTGATATTTGCAGCCACATGGATGGAACTGGAGGTCATTACAAAGATTCCCATTTCTTACCCATATACAGGAGCTAAAAGGTGGATCTCATGAAGGTAGAGAGTAGAATGGTGGCTACCAGAGGCCAGGAAGAAAAGGGTGGAGGGTAAAAAAAAATATGTGTATATATATATATATTAATGTATTTATGACCACTAGACTTTACACTTAAAAATGGTAAATGTGGCTGGGCGTGGTGGCTCATGCCTGTAATCCCAGCACTTTGGGAGGCTGATGCGGGTGGATCACGTGGTCAGGAGTTCGAGACCAGCTTGACCAACATGGTGAAACCCCCTCTCTACTAAAAATACAAAAAGTAGCCTGGCATGGTGGTGCGCGCCTGTAGCACCAGCTACTCAGGTGGCTGAGGCAAGAGAATCGCTTGAACCCAGGAGGCGGAAGTTGCAGTGAGCTGAGATTGTGCCAATGCACTCCAGCATAGGGGACAGAGCTAGACTCCGCCTCAAAAAAAAAATGTTAAAGGTGGTAAGCTATATAGGTATATTTATCCTCAATAAATATTTCTCAAACAAAAGTAAAGGGTGTAGGGGTTGCAGGTGATGACATCCCTGTGTGGGTGGGAGGCCAGGATGGGCTTCTGGGAAATGGGTAATGTTGAGGGGCTGAGGGAACCTCTGATCTTCCCAAACTGAGCCCAGTCTCCCTCCTCTGGGTCTCTCCTGACCGCTTTCTCCATCTGCCTGGGTGCCTGGAGTCCTGGCCGCAGGCCTTCATGCAGGCCATGTAGGAGGGTTTGGAGGTGCCCTGTCTGCCATCCTGTGCCCTGATCCCTCCCTCACACCCAAGCTTCGTCTTCTCTCTGCATCTGTTCATCCTTCTCTCCATCCTCAGCAGGAAGCTCCTCAGCTAAGGCTCTAGGATCATAGGACATGGGACAGCCATGGGCTTTCCTCACCTGTGACAGAAACAAGCAGTGGGTCACTCGAGTTTGACCACTCGTAGGGAGAGTCACGGAAAGAGCCGAAGCATCTGTAGGTTCCTCCGTGGGTGGCAGGGCCCAGAGGAAAGTCAGCCTGGAATGTTCCGTTGACCTTGGGCCCTGCAGAGAACCTACGTTCATGGGCCTCCCCCTCCCTGGATAGATGGTACATGTCATAGGAGCTCCGGGAGCTGCAGGACAAGGTCACGCTCTCTCCTGCCAGAACCGTGGGGCCCGGCTGGGCTGAGAGAGAAGGTTTCTCATATAGACCTGGAAGGAGAAGAGGCATTTTCCTTACGGAGGATCTTCCTTGTCACAGCTCCCTTCACCTGAGCTGAGAACTCACTCCCCTGCTCTATGACCTAATGCTCTCTCTCTCTCTCTCTCTCACCCTCCACCCCATCTCTCTTCATGTCTATTTCCTCCTTCCACCTTCTCTGTCTCTCTAGGTCTCTGACCTCGCTTCCACACCTCTAGATATGTTTTCCCTTTTTGGATTGTTTTATTCTCTCTGACTCTCCTTGGATTGGTTGACTTGATGTTACTTTTTTAAATTCTAAGTTTCTCACTTTGTGTCCTGTTCATAACTTTCTGCATATTTCTATCTATTATCTATCGATCTATCTATTTATCTATTCGGTGCCTATCTACAAATTCTCTACCTGTCATCTATATCTATATATCATCTATGTATCTATCACTTGTCTATCTATCCATCAATCATCTGTTATCTATATCTATGTATCATCTCTCTCTCTATGACTTCTGTCTGCCTCTCTATCTCTATGTATTATCTATCTGTCTTCATCATCATCATCTCTATGTCTCATCTATTAATGAATCAATCAATCATCATCTATGTATCTTTAACCTATTATCTATCATCTACCTATTTATCATCTATCTATATCTATCCATCTATCATCTGTCTTGCTCTGCCTCTCGGTCTCTCTAGTTCTCTTTGGAATCTCTGCAATTCATCCCCACATCTCCATCTTTCTATGTCCTTGTGCCTCTCCCTCAGGAGTCTAATTTTAGTGCTTTTCTCTGCTCCCTTCCATCATTCTCACCACTCCTCTGCCCTCTTTTCTCTCTCTTTATGTGTCTGTGAGTCTCTCAATCTCCTTCCTCTGGCTCATTCTCTGTGTGTTTATGTCTTTGCTTTTTGGTGTCCCTGATTTCTCTCTGTGCCTCTCAGTGATCCTTTCATATGTGGGGTTATTTGGAATGTGAGCCTCAGAATCCAGTCTGGAGACCACAAGTTCACACAGCATACAGGAGTTGGTGTTCTGGGGCCATGATATCCTGGGACGGTTACTCTCCATTACATGGAAGGCAGAGGTGTCAGAATAAACACGGCATCTGTAGGTGCCACAAGGCCTGAGGCCACAGGGCCCAACTCAGGTCATAAATATGGGTGTCCTTGGGTTCTCCTGGTAGAGAACACTTTGTGGAGGTAAAACAGAAATGAAACTTCTAACCTGTGCCAGGTCTCTGAGCAAAGTCAGCATGGAGGGACACCTCTCTCTGGGACATGTCTGTCTGTCTGTCTCCTTTAACTCCTTCTGTCTTTTCTAACTCCCGGTATGGCCCCTGTGTCTGTCCTCTGTTATGACACCTGGTCTGTACTTGTGTCTCCTGTTTCTCTGTCTCTGTTGGTACAGACCTCACCAAGTCAGTCTCTCTCCATAAGAATACCAAGCTCATCTTCCTTACAACTACCTGGGGGTTCCAAGTCGTGGATCATTCACTCTGCATCCCAATGACAATGAGAAGAATGTCCGGACACTCTCACCTGTGATGACGATGTCCAGAGGGTCACTGGGAGCTGACAACTGATGGGGGAGTGAGTAACAGAACCGTAGCATCTGTAGGTCCCTGCCAGGTCTTCCATCATGGGACCGATGGAGAAGTTGGCCTTGGAAACCCCATCATGGTGCTCTCCAGTGAGGTGCAAAGTGTCGTTAAACTTCCCTTCTCTGTGCAGAAGGAAGTGCTGAAACCTGACATCTGACCAACATTGCAGGATGACTGTCTCTTCTGATTTCACCAGGGGACCTGGGTGGGCCAGGAGGGAAGGTTTTCTGTGGACTCCTAGGAAGAGAGGTTGTGAGTTTAGAAGGTGTCTCTCTTTATCATCCCATCCATGGCACCTAGAATGAGTGAGGCTTCCCCTTGCTGGTGTCTGTCTCTCTCCTTCCTCTCTGTGTCTTCATGTTCTTTTCTGGGCCCATAACTCCTGGTGCAGGTCCTTCCATCTGTCTCCCTCCCTCTTCTCTGTCCCTCTGTCTCTAGTCGCCTCTGATTCCCTTCCCACTGGGCTTAGCCTCATCTCTTGGGGTGTTGTATCTATTTCACACTAATGTCTTTCCTGCTGTTTATGTGGGGGTGAAAGAGGAACCAGGATAGGCTGCACATCCAGCCTCTTATCAGCCTGGTTCAATCTCTTTTGGATGAATTGGAATCCTTGGCAGTAGGTATGAACTGATGAATAAGGCAGGCACCAGTGTCCACACACCCTGTTCCTGGTCGGGACTGGGAGCCACTCTTGCCATGCCTGTGCCTTCTCCATGGTGCCAGCTTCCATAGGCTGGCTCCTGGTGCTGGTTTGAGGAGTATCAACCCCTCCCTATGTGGATGGAGCCTGGTGGTGGCATCATCATCCCACACTTGCTCATCTCGGTGTAGCCAACCTTCCCCTTGTTTGGTTCCTTTAATTAATTAATTAATTATGGAGACAGAGTCTCACTCCTTCACCCCAGCTGGAGTGAAGTGGTGTGGTCTAGGGTCACTGCAACCTCTGTCTCCTGGGTTCAAGTGATTCTCCTGCCCTCAGCCTCCCAAGTCGCTAGGATTACATGCGCCTGCCACCACACCCGGCTATCCTTGTGTTGTTTCTTACCTTGTCCTTGACCTGGGTTCCAGTGTTGGTTTCCTGTTGCTGCTGTAGAAAATTATCAGAAGCATGGCAGCAGGAGAGAGCACACTGACCCATTTCACTACTGGAGACAGAAATAGGACCCTGTTTTTCCTGGGCTAAAATCAAGGCATCTGCAGGGCTTCGTTCCCTCTGGAGACTCTGGAGAATCATTTCCTTGACTTTTCCAACCTCTACAGGCCACCTGCATTCATGGCTCCTGGCCTTCCTCCACCTTCAAAGCTGGTGGAGTCTCCCATTGCGCTGCTCTAATCCCCACTCCCCTCTTCCTCCTCCTTTCATGTGGACCCTTGTGATTACACTGAGCCCAGCGGGACAGTCCAGGCTGTCTCCCCATCTCAAGGTCAACTCATCAACAACCTGAGCTCCATCTTCCCCTTCAGTTCCTTCCCCTATAACATAAATAGTCACAGACTCCAGGGATTAGAATGTAGTCATCACTGGGGACAATTATTCTTCCCACCACAGCACCCATTTCCCTGTATTCAATCCCCCTTTACCCCAAATATAGTCAGGGCCTGGGTGATGGGACCCTCAAGGACACGCCCACCAGAAGCTCTGGGATTCAGGAGGTGGGAAAGGAGAATCCAAGACAGGAGCCCTCTGACCTGTGGCCATGATCACCAGGGTGTTGCTGGGTGCCGACCACCCACTGGGGTAGTGTGGGTGTGAACCCCGACATCTGTACGTCCCTGTGTGTGCTGGGGTCACAGGGCCCATGAAAAGGCTCTTCCAGAATATTCTGTTGTAGAGCTCAGTGCCAGGCACCCCATCTTCCTTTTACAGACTGAAGTTGTTAAACCCAAGATAAGAATGACACCGAAGAATCACATGTCCTGGAGGCACCACAGAGCTGGGCCAGGCAGACAGCAAGGGCTTGTCCTGACCACCTTGGGGAGAAGGAGGCACCGCCTTAGAGAGGAGGATGTGGAGCCACCCCTCCCTCCCTGTGCTCTGAAGATTCTCCTCGCTTTCCAAGTTTCTATGGCTGCTATCACACCTTGGTGCCCAGGGCTAAAGGAAGGACCCATCCCGCAAACACAAGGTGTCTCCCTACAACAAAAGTGTCAGCTGAGAACTTTGAGCAAGTGCTGAGTAAGAGACTCCTACTAGATTTTAATACTGTAAGATTACTCACATAAAACAACACAGGGTAGACATGGGGTGGAGGGCATGTCTTTGAGAATGGAATATCAGCAGATGCCTGAATGAAAATAAGCAACTGAGCCCCCATCAGAGGATTTGGAATGTCAGGGCCATGGCTGTGGTTTCCCACCTCTTCTGGTGGAGTGACAGCAGCCACACTGCAGCCCCTACCGTCATGGAAACGCTGAAGTGTGAGTAACACCTTTGTCCTCAGAGGATCTGCTGTTCCTACCACTTCCCCACCACGCACCCCAGCTTTGAGCACCCCAGTCTAACCCTGGTCCCCACAGAACTTGACTCTGCCAAGGGAATGAAAGGCCAGGGAGGCGAGGTCGGAACTGTGGGCCGAGCACCCCAGGGTCCCCTCTTCCTAGTTTATGAGAGGCTCCCTGACAGGACTTCCCTCCTGTTTCAGGAAAATCCTCTTATGTGGGGAGATGACACCCTAAGGTTTGGAGAAGGACTCACCCTCATGTGGCCAGGCCCCCTGCAGCAAGAAGAACCCTGGAAAGAAAGATCATGATGGACGATCCATCTGCAGGCAAACCAGCCCTCCCTTGCTGCCCTCACTGGGCTGTGAGTCTTGGTAGGCAGGCCCTTCCTGGACTGAAGTTAAACTCACCCTCAGTGCCTACCTGCACCCAAGAACAGGGCTGTCGGCTGTGCAGAGACCCAGCCTCCAAGCCCAGATCCCCACCACAAGCCCATATCCCCACCACAAGCCCATATCTCCACTCCAGGCCAATATTTCCACCCTAGGCCTGTATCTCCACTCCAGGCCCATATCTCCACTCCAGGCCGATATTTCCATCATAGGCCCATATCGCCAATCCAGGCCCATATCGCCAATCCAGGCCAAGATCTCCACTGTAAGCCCATATCTCCAATCCAGGCCCATATCTCCACTCCAGGCTCAGATCTCCAACCTAGGCCCATATCTCCAATCCAGGCCCATATCTCCACACCAGGCCCATATCTCTACTGAAGGCCAGTAACTCCACCTCCAGGCCCATATCTCCACTCCAGGCCCAGATCTCCACCCCAAGCCCATATCTCCACCCCAGGCCCATATCTCTACTGAAGGCCCGTAACTCCACCTCCAGGCCCATATCTCCACCCCAGGCCCAGATCTCCACCCCAAGCCCATATCTCCACTCTAGGCCCATATCTCCTCTCCAGTCCCATATCTCCACAACCAGGCCCATATCTCCATCCTAGGCCCATATTTCCACTCTAGGCCCAGATATCCACCTCTAGGCCCATATCTCCACTCCTGGCCCAAATCTCCACTCCAGGCCCATATCTCTACTATAGGCCTATAACTCCACCTCCAGGCCCATATCTCCACTCCAGGCTCCTATCTCCCCTCCAGGTTCCTATCGGCACTCCAGGCCCAGATCTCCACTTCTAGGCCCATCACTCCATCTCTAGGCCCATATATCCACTCCAGGCCCAGATCTCCACTCCAGGCCCACAACTCCACCTCCAGGCCTATATCTCCACCTCTGGGCCCAGATCTCCAACCCCACACTCCCTTCCTCTATTCCCTTCCAGGACTCACCAACACACGCCATGCTGACGACCGTGAGCGACATGGTGCTGCCGGTGCAGACAGGCGGCCGTGCCCCAGCTCAGCTCAGCAGCGCACAGGATGTTATTTGGCGCCCTGCCCATGCAGTTTACATGTTGACCACATCATGGGAGGGTGACGTACGCAGGCTCATTCTACCTTGCATGAGGCCCAGTGGGTGCTCGCTCAAGAGCGGAACACGGCTTCCTGGAAATTGTTCTCACTAGAATTTACACCTAGCGTCCTTCACTATGACCAACTCAAAACACGTCTCAGATCCAACCTCCTGAACACGAGATGCCTAAAATCTGTGCTAACGTGAAAGACTTTTCATGTATTTTTATTGTTTTTATCTGAGATTCAAACTCTTCTTCATGTGTAATATGCAAAATATTTAATAGGTATTATTAAGGTTTTCAGAGTCATTGTGACTAATAAACCATTAGAATTTTTCATGCTTGTATTTCTAGTATTACAGCAGAACCAGTTAAAATGATTTAAATTCCCAGGGAAGGATTATGCAATTATTTACAATCTTAGAAATGTACTTTATCAGCAAAAACCACACCTGTAAATTCTGGAGTTTTGTAGTTTAATCTAAAATTTGTCTCATGACCCAAGATTCCAGAGTCCCAACTCTGGAGTTTGATCTCTCTCTGTCTCTCTGCCTCCCTCATTTTAAATTTTACAGAAATATCCAGTAACATAATGCTATAGAAAATCAAGTTTCCCCAGCACGTCGGGAAGCCGAGGTGGGCGGATCAACTGAGATGAGGGGATTGAGAGCAGCCTGGCCAACATAGTGAAACCGTGTCTCTGCTAAAAATCCAAAAATTAGCCATGCCTGGTGGCAGGCACCTGTAACGCCAGCTACTCAAGAGGCTGAGGCACGAGAATCGCTTGAACCTGGGAGGCGGAGGTTGCAGTGAGCTGAGATTGTGTCACTGCAGTCCAGCCTGGGCGACAGAGCAAGACTCCGCCTCAAGAAAAAAAAAAGCAAATAGCCTATAATAACAAATTAGAGGGCTCTGGCTACTAAATTTAAAGGGTTCTATAAGGCTACATAAAGTGTAGCATCATCAAGTGTGTGGACACAGACAGCCCCTTAGCAGAAACTGTCTAAAATACATCCATGTACACACAGTCCCTTTAGAGTTGACAAAGGCTGCCGTGTGGTTTAAGGTGGCATAGAATGTCTTCTCAATAAATAATATTAAACCAATGGGTTACACCTAGTAAAAAATAAATCTAACTCACACTATAAAAACACTTCTTAGTTTTTATCTAGTTGTACATTTTTTGATTTATATTTAAATTTGAGAAATAAAAGTCATATACGGTCATCCTTCACTATTCGTGGGTGATTGGTTTCGAGATCTCCACTCAGATACCAAAATCTGTAGATGCTCAAGCCTCTTATATGAAATGGCACAGCGCTTGCAAATAACATATGCACATCCTCCTGTATACATGAAATCATCTCTTGATTACTTATAATTCCTGATACAGCCTACACACAGCTTCATTTGTGTCCATTCAACATAGTTATGAGTTTTGGAACTCTGTGGATATTTTCTCTGAATATTTTTGATTTATACTTTGTTCAATAAAGACCTGTAAACCCCACAGATACGGAGGAGTGACCGTATATTTATAGTATGAAAGATGATGTGTTGATATGTGTCCCCATGGAGATGAGACTAACAAGGCCTATGACTCTACAAATGTTTCATCGTGGAATGACTCTGCCAGCTTTCCAGGTCTGCAGAGAGTAACAATGTCACTTGTTCATGTGATTCCCGATCCTTGGAACCTCCTATGTGCTGCATCTTTGGATGGAAATTGGAGTCCCAGAGACAAATGAGGCTCCACACTGCTTCCAGAAGCTCAGAGTCCAGAGGTGAGAACCCGGTGGAGAACAGATGGGATTATATGGACATGGTACTGATAACACCGGAAGCCTTAGGCAAGAAAAGAGTCCCATTACCTAAACCATGAGGGCAGACATGTTTATTTGAAGGAGGGAAAACTACATTGAAATTATTTTAAAAAATATATAAGTTTTACTGCTGACAGAAGGCTGAAAGCTAGTCTGAGGGGAGGTGGAACAGCATGAGGGAAGGTGGAACAGCACGTGTCTAAGTGCCGTGTTAAGAGGGAGCCTCTTGTATGTTTGGAATTGTGAGTTCCTCAGTGTGATTGCAGCCTCAAGTAGACTAGGAAGTAAGCCAGTTAGGTTGGAGAGGTGGGCAGGGGTCAAGTGAAATGGAGAATTGTGGGCTAAGCAAAGGAGTGTGTTTTCTCTCCAGCAGGCAGTGGGGACCTTAGACATTTGTAAGCAAGGGAGAGGCACGTTCAGATTTGTGGTGTGAGGAAGAGCGATGCCCTAAGATGCAGACTCACGCCTTCAGATTCCAGCTGCTGGTACATTGGAGCTGGCAACCCAGTTTTGAGACAGGGCTGTTGTCTCCCTAGAAGATCCCCTCAAGGCCTGACTGTGGTGCTCATGGGCAGGAGACAACTTTGGATCAGGGCTCAGCATTTGGAAGTTCCGTGTACACGATGATATCTGTTGGGGGTGTCTTGGGCCTCTGAGAAGGGCGAGTGATTTTTCTCTGTGTGAAAACGCAGTGATTCAACTGTGCATATGTCACCTCCTGAGGGTCTTGTTCATCAGAGTCCTGGAGAGAGGGAAATGCTGAGTGAGGGAGGGTGCTCACATTTTCCAGGACTCTTTGGGAATAACACTAGCCACGAGGCTGGGCCGAGGAGCACCTACCTCCCTGTTCACTGTTCTGTTCCCTGCAGGCTCTTGGTCCATTACAACAGCATCTGTAGAAGACGGAAGTCAACAAAACAGCTCAGAGGGCACTTCTGGGCCCTCATTTCATAAGCAGATACCAACATACAGGGGGAGACCATAGGAGCCTGAGGTCCCTCAGTTGCCAACAGCAGACTCAGACATTCTATCTCTCTGAGCTCAAGGACCCATCCCATGAATAGCTCTGAGTTCCCATCCCATTGATTCTGTCTCCCACTTTCTGCCTGTCATGGAACCTTCTCCTGGATGTGAGTGGCTGCAGGGGACATGAGGATACAGTTCAGAATCAGGCAATGGTCTGTGAGCTGAAGGCAGGGACAGGGAGTCTGGTGCTCTCTCTAGAAAGTCCTCCCTCTGTGGCTGCTGCCTTGGGCCAGGGACCATCCTGTCTGTGAGGAACACACACCTGAGTGCTCCCATCCTGCTTCCCCACATGGCCCTGAGCTCTCTGGCCTCTGCTTCGTGAGACTTACTTTTTTTGTTGCAGCACCAGCGATGAAGGAGAAAGAAGAGGAGGAGGATGAAGAGGATGATGACCACTGAGGTCCCAATCAGAACATGCAGGTGTCTGGGGTTACCTGGAAGAAGAGGAGACACCAATAAGAAGCTAATCATAGCAGTTCCTCTTTATGAATTGTCTCACATTTCTTGATTGACAGGTAACCACATACAACACCCCTTTAGGACAAGCACCCAGATGGAGGGAGACCCAGCTTTCTCCTGCTTTCTCAGTTATAGCTCTCATAGTAACCATAGAACGTGTTGAGGATACAACTACTTTAGTTGAGATGTTTGACCCCTTCAAACCTCACATTGAAATTTCACCCCCACTGTGGGAGGTTGGGCCTCTTGAGAGGTGTTTGGGTCATGGAGGTGGATCCATCATGAACAGACCAATGCTGTCCCAAGGAGACGGGGTTAGCAAGTTCCCCTTCTATTAGTTCCTGGAGAGCTGGTTGTTCAAAAGAGCTTGGAAGCTCCATCGCTCCCCCTCCCCCTTGCTCCCTCTCTTGCCGTGTGATCTCTGTGGTCTCTGCACAGACAGACCCTCCTTCCCTTCTGCCAGAGTGGGAGCAGCCTGAGGCCGTCACGAGAAATAGATGCTGGTGCCACGCTTCCAGTACAGCCTGCAGAACTGTGAGGCAAACCAATCTCTTTTCTCTAGAAGTTACCCAGGCTCAAGTGTTCCTTTAGAGCAACAAAAATGGACTAAGACAGCAACGTCCTGAGATCAGGAGGAACGTCTCAGAACAGCCTGGGCTGTCTTCCTGTTCTTCCTGGAGGAGGACGTCATGCAGTGCTTTAGCTGAGTGCTTCCTGTGGCTCCACAGTACAAAACCCAGGCTGGGCTGCTCTCTGGCTTCCCCCAGCTACACTGCAAATGGGGTGACTCCATATGTCCCGAGTAGCTTTTCTGAGCCTTGAGGGACTGGCTCACATTGAAATGTAGGTTTCTGTTGTCACTCGCTGCTTATCTGTTAGTAATGAACCTGCCTGTGTAATGTATTCTCTGTGTGTTCTGTCTCCCTGGAGTGACGGTGAGTGATAGGAATTGGCATAAGCCCAGGTGCAGTCCAGGAGGTATTTAGAGTCTTCTCTGGGAAGACTGCACTGGGATTGATACACAGCGAATGTGCTTTAGGATTTCTACATCCACAGCATTCTTGAATCAAACAACTTGCATTCTCCAAGAAAAGGAAACAAAAGTGAAATCAAGATAAAAAAAGCTAAGTAGAATTCTCTTATGTCAAATGGCCAGGAAATAGTGTTGAAGCCCGTGTGAAACGTGCTACTCTTTGTGATCTCGGGAGACACATGTTAGGCTGCTGTTCTACCCGAGAGGCTGGGGGAAGGACCACCCCCTCGGCCATCTATTGCTTCAATACCACCTGTCCTCCTGTGAATTAGTAGGAAAGGGGAGCAGGAGCTAGTGCTGGCACTGATCTCTGATTCCAAGATCTGGACTCACTCCAAGGAGTATCAATGTTTACCTCCCCATAGCCTATCTGAATCTCCACAGGTGATTGGAAGTAGGGGTGAGGTGGGGGATTTGGGTGAGTGGGCAAGTTTTTTGTTGCGATGAACAGAGCACTTTCTCTATTCCACGATCTGTGCTGGAGGATTCTGAGGGCTTTCACATTTTCTATGTGATCTCATTCTCACAGAAAGCCAAATAGGGAAGAGGTTTTAAGCTCATTGCCTAATGGATAAGATAAAGGATCAAAGAAGTAATTATAGAGAAATAGAAAAACGATGATTGGAATTCAGGTGCCTTTGTCATTCGTGTGTGTTTTATTATATTTATGTATTTCTTATTTTTATTTTTTGAGATAGAGTCTCCTTGTGTCCCCCAGGCTGGAGTGCAGTGATGCAATCTCCACTCACTGCAACCTCCACCTACTGGGTTGAAGTCATTCTCCTGCTTCATCCTCCAGAATAGGAGCTGGGATTACAGGGATGCACCATCGTGCTCGGCTAATTTTTGTATTTTTAGTAGAGATAGGGTTTCACCACGTTGGCCAGGCTGGTCTGGAACTCCTGACTTCATGGAATCCACCCACCTTGGCCTCCTGCAGTGCTAGGTTACAGGCGTGAGCCACTGTTCACAGACTTGTATATTATGCTATAATAAGTCTCTTCATTTCCACCACCACTCATATATCTGTCACTCCTTTGCCAGGTATTGATTTATGTGTAGGATGAATAAATCTCAGAAAGAAATTAATTAAGCGAGGATTAAACAAGTAGGAAAATCAAACCCAGTAAGCGTTTCCAGTCAATGATTCTACCTCACAAACATATCTTATATCCATCTACTTCATTCATTTAGTGTCTAAATCAGCACCACATTTCACCAGTGGGGTGGCAATTGCCTTTTCCACGGTCTCCTAGATTCCAGTTATGCAACTGAGCCTCCCTTATTTTCATGTCAGTCATATTAATCATGTAGGGATTCCTGGTTACCCCGAGGTGAATCCAATGGCTGTGAGTGTCAAACACACACTCCTTGTTGCTCCTTAGTTTCCTGTGTACCCAGTGTGCTCTCCGTCTCTCTACAGTCATCTTGTCATTCTCCCCACATCATTCCCAGCATTTGAGGCAGAGCCTCTTCCTTCCACATCAGATTGTTTTCACCTTTGTGCCTTCACGGCTGACAGCTGTGTGTGCAAAATCCTTCCGCCAATCTTTCAGGGGTTCAATCCGTGTTTTTCATTAATGTCACAAATATCTGAATAGTGAGACCTTCTTTGTCACCTGAAATCATACACTCAGCATTATCTATTATTGATTTTGAATTCTGGCTGGGCACAGTGGCTCACGCCTGTAGTCCCATTACTTTGGCATGCTGAGACGGTCGGATCACTTGAGGTTGGGAGTTTCAGACAAGCTTGGCCAACGTGGTGAAACATCCTCTCTACAAAAAATATACAAAAAGAATTAGCCGGGCACGGTGGCAGTTGCCTGTAATCCCAGCTACTCGAGAGGCGGAGGCAGGAGAATCACTTGAATCCAGGAGACGCAGGTTGCAGTGAGCCAAGATCGTGACACTGCACTGTAGCCTGGAAGACAGAGGGCGACTCTGTCTCAATAAACAAAAGAACAAACAAAAAATAGATTTCATGCACAGATGCTTCCCAATGGATCATTCATTTATAGATCCACTTGTGCATTCATTTTCTGCCCTCCCATTTAACCATCTGCAATATCAGTGTCCCAAGGGCAGAAGCCAAATGCATCTTGTTCACCGTTTGTGGAAGGCAGGAGAATGCTGTCCCACCCCAAAATGTCCCTGTCCTAGCCTCCATAGCTTGTGAATATGTTATTTTACATGGAAAGGAGGAATGAAGATTGTAGATGGAATTGCGGTTGCTAATCAGCTGAACTTAAAACAAGGGTATCCTGGATGATTTCCAGGAGATTATGAGGGATTTTCATCTTGGTGAACCCAATAGAATCCCCAAGTTTTCAAAAGATAAGGAAGAAGGGAGAGCAGCATTCAGAGAAAGAGGTGTGGTAAGGAAGAAGGCACTGAGTGATGCCATGTGAGATGTGACCAGTCTTTGTGGGCTTTGAGGAAGGAGGAAGGGGAACAGGAGCCAAGGAACTGGGAGCCTTTAGAAGCTGGGATAAGTGAGAAGCAGATTCTTGCCTGGAATCCTCAGAGGGAAGGCAGCCTTGCTGTCACCTTGATTTTAGCCCAGTAAGATGCACTTCCTACTTTGAGCTACAGCACTGTAAGATAATTAAAAAACCGTTTTGTTTTCACCCACGAATCTTGTGGAAATTTGTTATGGCAACAATAGGAAAAGGTTCCGCACTGCACAGCCTGAGCATGGGGCCGTGGCTGAATGAGTCAGTGAGTCGAAGTGTGCGTGCATGAGCTCCGTTCTCTGTTACGGCAAGGCTGTTGCTCTGCTGAGTCAGCCAGGGTTGCTTCATGACCAACAGTAATTCATTCCTTGGCAAGTGGAACTTCTCTAAAACACCTCGCCCTCATCAGATGTTCCCTTCCCTTCCCTCTCTCAAGCCCCCAGGAATTTATCCTCCAGTTAGGAATGCAGGCAGAACAAACATTGCATTTTTCCTGAGAAGGATGTCAGATTGGCAATCATTCTTCTAGCTTGTAGGAGGTCTCAGCTCCATAAAATGAGAGATTAAGAGATTTCACTGAGCCCTAGGTTGGGCCCAGATCCCTTTCGCTGTTGGAGTATCTGGAGTTCGGAGATGGTAGAAGACAGGCGTACAATGTCAGAGCTGCGAGATGCTGAGTCAATGCCTGCATCGAAGGTTTCTACCTCCCCAGGTTTCCAAAAGCGGATATAAGAGGGTTCTGTACTCACCGGTTTCGGAGCTTGGTTCAGTGGGTGAAGGCCAACTATTTGAAGGGTTTCCTAGAACACGAGACAGGAGAGAGGTGAGGAAATGAGGGTGTCTGTCCTCTACTCAATGGAAATCTTTGAGGTTGGTTCATGGCCAACACTCTGTTATCTAATATTGGGCCCTGGGAGTCCTGGGATCCTTTTTTCCGTAATTTTTGTATGTGACGCCCACTGTCTTGAGACTTCAAGGTATAAAGAGAAAACAGGAGCATCACACTACCTGATCTCAAAATATGTTACAGAGCTGTAGTAAGCAAAACAGCATCACATTGGCATAAAGAAAGGCACGTAGAACAATGGAGCAGAATGAAGAACACAGATATAATCCATGCATTTACCTCCAATGTTTTTTTCTTTTTTCTTTTGAGATGGAGTCTCGCTCTGTCACCCAGGCTGGAGTGCAGAGGTGCAATCTCGGTTCACTGCCACCACAGCCTCCTGGGTTCAATCAATTCTCTGGCCTCAAACTCCTGAGTAGTGGTATTACAGGTGCTGACCACCATGCTCAGCTAATTTTTATATTTTTAGTGGAGACAATGTTTCATCACGTCGGCCAGACTAATCTTGAACTCCTGGCCTCAGGTGATCCACCCGCCTTGGGCTCCCAAAGTGCTGAAATTGCAGGTGTCAGCCACCATGCCCAGCCCATCCAATGGACTTTGACAAAGGTGCCAAGAACTCACAATCAGGAAAGGACAGTCTTTTCAATAAACAGTGCAGGGAAACCTGGACATCTACATGCAGAGGAATGAAACTGCACCTCTACCTGTCACTATACACAAAACTCAAATGAAAATGGATTAAAGATGTGAGTCTAAGGCCTGAACCTATGAAACACGTAGAAGAAAATATTGGGGAAATGCTCCAGGACATTTGTCTGAAGGAAGACATTTTGTTTTAAACCTTCAAAACACAAGTAATCGAAGCAAAAATAGACCATTGGGATTACCTCAAACTAAG
Source organism: Homo sapiens (assembly GCF_000001405.40). Classification (NCBI taxonomy): domain Eukaryota; kingdom Metazoa; phylum Chordata; class Mammalia; order Primates; family Hominidae; genus Homo; species Homo sapiens. Next base: position 122,713 of record NT_187669.1, read on the forward strand.
CAACTTCTGCACCGCTAAAAATAAACCAACAAAGTGAAGAGACAACCCACAGATTGGGAGCAAATATGTGCAAACTATGCATCTGAGATGGGATTAATAACTAGAAATATAAGAAGCTCAAACAACTCAATAAAACAAACGATTTAATTGAAAAAGGAGCAAAACACATGAAATTTCCCCACATACTAAAAAGTGCTCAGTTTCACTCATCATCAGAGAAACACAAATTAAAATCAAAGTGAGTTTTCATCTCACCCCATTAAAATGGATTTTAGGCCGGGCGTGGTGGCTCACGTCTGTCATCCTAGACCTTTGAGAGCCTGAGGTGGGTGAACCTCATAAGGTCGGGAGTTTGAGACCAGTCTGACCCACATGAAGAAACACTGTCTCTACTAAAAATACAAAATTTAGTTGGGCGTGGTGGCGTGTGCCTGTAATTCCAGCTACTCGGGAGGCTGAGGCAGGAGAATCGCTTGAACCTGGGAGGTGGAGGTTGTGGTGAGCCGAGATCGCACCACTGCACTCCAGCCTGGGTGACAAGAGCGAAACTCCATCTCAAAATAAAATGAAATAAAATAAAATGGCTTTTAGCTGCAAGACAGGCAAAGGAAATCCTGCCAAAGTGGTAGAGAAAGGAGAACCCTAATACCCTGTTGGTAGGAGTGTAAATTAGTACAGCCTTTACGGAGAAAAGTGTGGAAGTCCTTTAAAGAACTAAAAAGAGGTTGGGTGAGGTGGATCATGCCTGTAATCCCGGCACTTTGGGAGACCGAGGCGGGCACCTCAGTTGAGGTCATGAGTTTGAGAGCAGCCCAGCCAACATGGGGAAACCCCATCTATACTAAAAAAAACAAAAAGTAGCCAGGCATGGTGGCGTGCACCTGTAATCCCAGCTACTAGGGAGGCTGAGGCAGGAAAATCATTTGAACCCAGGAGGCGGAGGTTGCAATGAGCCAAGATGACTTCACTTGTACTCCAGCCTGGGCACAGAGGGAAACTGTCTCAAAAACAAAAACAAAACAACAAACGAATAACTAAAAAGAGAACTTTCATAGTATCCAGCAATTTCACTACTGGGTTTATATCCAAAGGAAAGTAAATCAATATATCGAAGTGATATCTGCACTCGTATGATTGGTGCAGCACTGTTCACAGTAGCCAAGATGTGGAGTCAACCTACCTGCCCATCAGTGGATGAATGGATAGAGAGAATGTAGTACATACGCACAGTGGAGACTACTCATCCATAGAAAGAATAACATCCTGATATTTGCAGCCACATGGATGGAACTGGAAGTCATTACAAAGATTCCCATTTCTCACCCATATACAGAGCTAAAAGGTGGATCTCATGAAGGTAGAGAGTAGAATGGTGGCTTCCAGAGGCCAGGAATAAAAGGGTGGAGGGTAAAAAAAAAAAAAAAAAATATATATATATATATATATATATATATATATGTTTATATATGTGTGTGTGTGTGTATATATATATATATATATATATATATAAATGTATTTATGACCACTAGACTTTACACTTAAAAATGGTAAATGTGGCTGGGCGTGGTGGCTCATGCCTGTAATCCCAGCACTTTGGGAGGCAGATGCGGGTGGATCACGTGGTCAGGAGTTGGAGACCAGCTCGACCAACATGGTGAAACCCCCTCTCTACTAAAAATACAAAAAGTAGCCTGGCGTGGTGGTGCGCGCCTGTAGCACCAGCTACTCAGGTGGCTGAAGCAGGAGAATCACTTGAACCCAGGAGGCGGAAGTTGCAGTGAGCTGAGATTGTGCCACTGCACTCCAGCATAGGGGACAGAGCTAGACTCTGCCTCAAAAAAAAAAAAAATGTTAAAGGTGGTAAGCTATATAGGTATATTTATCCTCAATAAATATTTCTTCAAACAAAAGTAAAGGGTGTAGGGGTTGCTGGTGATGACATCCCTGTGTGGGTGAGAGGCCAGGATGGGCTTCTGGGAAATGGGTAATGTTGAGGGGCTGAGGGAACCTCTGATCTTCCCAAACTGAGCCCAGTCTCTCTCCTCTGGGTCTCTCCTGACCGTTTTCTCCATCTGCCTGTGTGCCTGGAGCCCTGGCCGCGGGCCTTCATGCAGGCCGTGTAGGAGGGTTTGGAGGTGCCCTGTCTGCCATCCTGTGCCCTGATCCCTCCCTCACACCCAAGCTTCGTCTTCTCTCTGCATCTGTCCATGCTTCTCTCCATCATCAGCAGGAAGCTCCTCAGCTAAGGCTCTAGGATCATAGGACATGAGACAGATATGGGGTTTCCTCACCTGTGACAGAAACAAGCAGTGGGTCACTCGAGTTTGACCACTCGTATGGAGAGTCACGGAAAGAGCCGAAGCATCTGTAGGTTCCTCCGTGGGTGGCAGGGCCCAGAGGAAAGTCGGCCTGGAATGTTCCGTTGACCTTGGGCCCTGCAGAGAACCTACGTTCATGGGCCTCCCCCTCCCTGGATAGATGGTACATGTCATAGGAGCTCCGGGAGCTGCAGGACAAGGTCACGCTCTCTCCTGCCAGAACCGTGGGGCCCGGCTGGGCTGAGAGAGAAGGTTTCTCATATAGACCTGGAGGAGAAGAGGCATTTTCCTTACGGAGGATCTTCCTTGTCACAGCTCCCTTCACCTGAGCTGAGAACTCACTCCCCTGCTCTATGACCTAATGCTCTCTCTCTCTCTCTCTCTCACCCTCCACCCCATCTCTCTTCATGTCTATTTCCTTCTTCCACCTTCTCTGTCTCTCTAGGTCTCTGACCTCGCTTCCCCACCTCTAGATATGTTTTCCCTTTTTGGATTCTTTTATTCTCTCTGACTCTCCTTGGATTGGTTGACTTGATGTTACTTTTTTAAATTCTAAGTTTCTCACGTTGTGTCCTGTTCATAACTTTCTGCATATTTCTATCTATTATCTGTCGATCTATCTATTTATCTATTCGGTGCCTATCTACAAATTCTCTACCTGTCATCTATATCTATATATCATCTATGTATCTATCACTTGTCTATCTATCCATCAATCATCTGTTATTTATATGTATGTATCATCTCTCTCTCTATGATTTCTGTCTGCCTCTCTATCTGTACGTATTATCTGTCTTCATCATCATCATCTCTATGTATTATCTATTAATGAATCAATCAATCATCATCTATGTATCTTTAACCTATTATCTATCATCTACCTATTTATCATCTATCTATATCTATCCATCTATCATCTGTCTTGCTCTGCCTCTCGGTCTCTCTAGTTCTCTTTGGAATCTCTGCAATTCATCCCCACATCTCCATGTTTCTATGTCCTTGTGCCTCTCTCTCAGGACTCTAATTTTAGTGCTTTTCTCTGCTCCCTGCCATCATTCTCACCACTCCTCTGCCCTCTTTTCTCTCTCTTTATGTGTCTGTGAGTCTCTCAATCTCCTTCCTCTGGCTCATTCTCTGTGTGTTTATGTCTTTGCTTTTTGGTGTTCCTGATTTTTCTCTGTGCCTCTCAGTGATCCTTTCATATGTGGGGTTATTTGGAATGTGAGCCACAGAATCCAGTCTGGAGACCACAAGTTCACACAGCATACAGGGGTTGGTGTTCTGGGGCCATGATATCCTGGGACGATTACTCTCCATTACATGGAAGGCAGAGGTGTCAGAATAAACATGGCCTGTAGGTGCCACAAGGCCTGAGGCCACAGGGCCCAACTCAGGTCATAAATATGGGTGTCCTTGGGTTCTCCTGGTAGAGAACACTTTGTGGAGGTAAAACAGAAATGAAACTTCTAACCTGTGCCAGGTCTGTGAGCAAAGTCAGCATGGAGGGACACCTCTCTCTGGGACATGTCTGTCTGTCTGTCTCTTTTAACTCTTTCTGTCTTTTCTAACTCCCTGTATGGCCCCTGTGTCTGTCCTCTGTTATGACACCTGGTCTGTACTTGTGTCTCCTGTTTCTCTGTCTCTGTTGGTACAAACCTCAGCAAGTCAGTCTCTCTCCATAAGAATACCAAGCTCATCTTCCTTACAACTACCTGGGGGTTCCAAGTCGTGGATCATTCACTCTGCATCCCAATGACAATGAGAATGTCCGGACACTCTCACCTGTGATGACGATGTCCAGAGGGTCACTGGGAGCTGACAACTGATAGGGGGAGTGAGTAACAGAACCGTAGCATCTGTAGGTCCCTGCAAGGTCTTGCATCATGGGACCGATGGAGAAGTTGGCCTTGGAGACCCCATCATGGTGCTCTCCAATGAGGTGCAAAGTGTCCTTAAACTTCCCTTCTCTGTGCAGAAGGAAGTGCTGAAACCTGACATCTGACCAACATTGCAGGATGACTGTCTCTTCTGATTTCACCAGGGGACCTGGGTGGGCCAGGAGGGAAGGTTTTCTGTGGACTCCTAGGAAGAGAGGTTGTGAGTTTAGAAGGTGTCTCTCTTTATCATCCCATCCATGGCACCTAGAATGAGTGAGGCTTCCCCTTGCTGGTGTCTGTCTCTCTCCTTCCTCTCTGTGTCTTCATGTTCTTTTCTGTGCCCTTAACTCCTGGTGCAGGTCCTTCCATCTGTCTCCCTCCCTCTTCTCTGTCCCTCTGTCTCTAGTAGCCTCTGATTCCCTTCCCACTGGGCTGAGCCTCATCTCTTGGGGTGTTGTATCTATTTCACACTAATGTATTTCCTGCTGTTTATGTGGGGGTGAAAGAGGAACCAGGATAGGCTGCACATCCAGGCTCTTATCAGCCTGGTTCAATCTCTTTTGGATGAATTGCAATCCTTGGCAGAAGGTATGAACTGATGAATAAGGCAGGCACCAGTGTCCACACACCCTGTTCCTGGTGGGGACTGGGAGCCACTCTTGCCATGCCTGTGCCTTCTCCATGGTGCCAGCTTCCATAGGCTGGCTCCTGGTGCTGGTTGGAGGAGTATCAACCCCTCCCTATGTGGATGGAGCCTGGTGGTGGCATCATCATCCCACCCTTGCTGATCTCAGGGTAGCCAACCTTCTCCTTGTTTGGTTTCTTTAATTAATTAATTAATTATGGAGACAGAGTCTCACTCCTTCACCCAGGCTGGAGTGAAGTGGTGTGGTCTAGGCTCACTGCAACCTCTGTCTCCTGGGTTCAAGTGATTCTCCTGCCCTCAGCCTCCTGAGTCGCTAGGATTACATGCACCTGCCACCATGCCTGGCTTTCCTTGGGTTGTTTCTTAACTTGTCCTTGACCTGGGTTCCAGTGTTGGTTTCCTGTTGCTGCTGTAGAAAATTATCAGAAGCATGGCAGCAGGAGAGACCACACTGACACCTTCCAGTACTGGAGACAGAAATTGGACCCTATTTTTCCTGGGCTAAAATCAAGGCATCTGCAGGGCTTTGTTCCCTCTGGAGACTCTGGAGAATCAGTTCCTTGACTTTTCCAGCCTCTATAGGCCACCTGCATTCATGGATCTTGGCCTTCCTCCACCTTCAAAGCTGGTGAAGACTTCCACTGGACTGCTCTAATCCCCACTCCCCTCTTCCTCCTCCTTTCATGTGCACCCTTGTGATTACACTGAGCCCAGTGGGACAGTCCAGGCTGTCTCCCCATGAGCTCCATCTTCCCCTTCAGTCCCTTCCCCTATAACATAAATAGTCACAGACTCCAGGGATTAGAATGTAGTCATCACTGGGGACAATTATTCTTCCCACCACAGCACCCATTTCCCTGTATTCAATCCCCCTTTACCACAAATACAGTCAGGGCCTGCGTGATGGGACCCTCAAGGACATGCCCAACAGAAGCTCTGGGATTCAGGAGGTGGGACAAGGAGAATCCAAGACAGGAGCCCTCTGACCTATGACCACGATCACCAGGGGGTTGCTGGGTGCTGACCACCCACTGGGGGAGTGTGTGTGTGAACCCCGACATCTGTATGTCCCTGTGTGTGCGGGGGTCACAGGGCCCATGAAAAGGCTGTTCCAGAATATTCTGTTGTAGAGCTCAGGGACAGGCACCCCACCTTCCTTTTACAGACTGAAGTTGTTAAACCCAAGATAAGAGTGACACCGAAGAATGACATGTCCTAGAGGCACCACAAGGCTGGGCCAGGCAGACAGCAAGGGCTTGTCCTGACCACCTTGGGGAGAAGGAGGCGCCGCCTTAGAGAGGAGGATGTGGAACTGCCCTTCCCTCCCTGTGCTCAGAAGATTCTCCTCGCTTTCCACGTTTCTATGGCTACTATCACACCTTGGTGCCCAGGGCTGAAGGAAGGACCCATCCCGCAAAGACATGGTGTCTCCCTACAACAAAAGCCTCAGCTGAGAACTTTGAGCAAGTGCTGAGTAAAGAGACTCCTACTAGATTTTAATACTGTAAGATTACTCACATAAAACAACACAGGGTAGACATGAGGTGGAGGGCATGTCCTTTGTGAATGGATATCAGCGGATGCCTGAACGAAAATAAACAACTGAGCCCCCATCAGAGGATTTGGAATGTCAGGGCCATGGCTGTGGTTTCCCACCTCTTCTGGTAGAATGACAGCAGCCACACTGCAGCCCCTACCATCATGGAAACGCTGAAGTGTGTGAGTAACACCTTTGTCCTCAGAGGATCTGCTGTTCCTACCACTTCCCAACCACACACCCCAGCTTTGAGCACCCCAGTCTAACCCTGGTCCCCACAGAACTTGACTCTGCCAAGGGGTTGAGAGGCCAGGGAGGCGAGGTCAGAAATGTGGGCTGAGCACCCCAGGGTCCTCTCTTCCTAGTTTATGAGAGACTCCCCGACAGGACTTCCCTCCTGTTTCAGGAAAATCCTCTTATGTGGGGAGATGACACCCGAAGGTTTGGAGAAGGACTCACCCTCATGTGGCCAGGCCCCCTGCAGCAAGAAGAACCCTGGAAAGAAAGATCATGATGGACCATCCATCTGCAGGCAAACCAGGCCTCCCTTGCTGCCCCCACTGGGCTGTGAGTCTTGGCAGCCAGGCCCTTCCTGGGCTGAAGTTAAACTCACCCTCAGTGCCTACCTGCACCCAAGAACAGGGCTGTCGGCTGTGCAGAGACCCAGTTTCCAGGCCCATATCCCCACCCCAAGCCCATATCTCCACTCCAGGCTGATATTTCCACCCTAGGCCCATATCGCCAATCCAGGCTCAGATCTCCACCCTAGGCCCCTATCTCCAATCCAGTCCCATATCTCCGCCCCAGGCCCAGATCTCCACCCTAAGCCCATATCTCCACTCCAGGCCCATATCACCTCTCCAGTCCCATATCTCCACACCCAGGCCCATATCTCCTTCCTAGGCCCATATCTCCACTCCAGGCCCAGATATCCATCTCTAGGCCCATAACTCCACTCCTGGCCCATATCTCCACTCCAGGCCCATATCTCTACTGCAGGCCCGTATCTCCACCTCCAGACCCATATCTCCACTCCAGGCCCATATCTCCACCTCCAGGCCCATATCTCCACCTCCAGGCCCATATCTCCACTCCAGGCCCATATCTCCACTCCAGGCCCCTATCTCTACTGCAGGCCCATATCTCCATCTCCAGGCCCATATCTCCATCTCCAGGCCCATGTCTCCACTACAAGCCCATATCTCTACTGCAGGCCCATATCTCAACCTCCAGGCCCATATCTCCACTCCAGGCCCAGATCTCCACTCCAGGCCCAGATCTCCACTTCTAGGCCCATCACTCCATCTCTAGGCCCATAACTCCACTTCCAGGCCTATATCTCCAACTCTGGGCCCCGATCTCCATCCCCGCACTCCCTCCCTCGATGCCCTTCCAGGACTCACCAACACACACCATGCTGACGACCATGAGCGACATGGTGCTGTCTGTGCAGACAGGCGGCCGCGCCCCAGCTCAGCTCAGCAGCGCACAGGATGTTATTTGGCGCCCTGCCCATGCAGTTTACATGTTGACCACATCATGGGAGGGTGACGTACGCAGGCTCTTTCTACCTTGCATGAGGCCCAGTGGGTGCTCGCTCAAGAGCGGAACATGGCTTCCTGGAAATTGTTCTCACTAGAATTGACACCTTGCGTCCTTCACTACGACCAGACTCAAAAGACGTCTCAGATCCAACCTCTCATACACGAGATGATTGAATTCTGTGCTTACATTAAAGATTTTTGATGTATTTTTGTTTTTATCTGAGATTCAAACTCTTCTTCATATGTAATGTGCAAAATGTCTAACAGGTATTATTAACATTATCAGAGTAATTGTGACAAGAAGCCATTCTAATTTTCCTGCTTGAGTTTCTACTACTAAACCAGAGGCATCAGAATAGCTTGAACCTGGGAGACGGAGGTTGCAGTGAGCTGAGCTCAAGCCACTGAACTCCAGCTTGGGTGACAGAGGAAGAGTCTGTCTCAAGAAAAAAAAAAAAAGCAAACTAAATAACCTATAATAACAAATCAGAGGACTCAGGTTACCAAATTTTAAGGGGTTCTATAAGTTTATATAAAATGCAGCATCCTCATGAGAGGGGATACAGAGAACCACTGGACAGAAAACTGTGTCTAAAATACATCTGTGGATACACAGTCCCTTTATAGTTGACAAAGGCTGCCATGTAGTTTAAGGTGGAATAGAATATTTTCTCAACAAATAACACAGGACCATAGGGTTACACGTAGGAAAAAATAAATCTAAACTTATCCTCACACTATAAAAACACTTCTTATTTTTTATCTTGTTGTTGTAAATTTTTTATGCTTTATTTTTAAGATTGACAAATAAAAATTATATACCATGGTCCTTCACTATACCTGGGTGATTGGTTCCAGGATCCCCATTCAGATACCAAAATCTGCAGATGCTCAAGCCCCTTGCATGAAATGGCATAGTGAAGCTGGGCACCGTGGCTCACGCCTGTAATCCCAGCACTTTGGGAGGCTGAGCTGGGTAGATCACAAGGTCAGGAGTTCAAGACCAGCTGGTCCAACATTCTGAAACCCCATCTCTACTAAAAATATACACACAAAAAAATTTATCTGTGCAGGGTGGCACGTGCCTGTAATCCTAGGGGAGGCTACTGGGGAGGCTGAGGGAAGAGAATCGCTTGAACCTGGAAGGCGGAGGTTGCAGTGAGTTGAGATCACGCCACTGCACTCCAGCCTGGGTGAGAGAGTGAGACTGTCTCAAAAAAAAAAAAAATAGCATAGCAATTGCATAGAACCCATGCACATCCTCCTGTATACATGAAATCATCTCTTGATTACTTATAATTCCTGACACAGCCTACACGCCACTCAATTTGTGTCGATTCAACATAGTTTTTTGCTTTTTGAAACTTCGGGGATTTTTTTTCTCAAAATATTTTTGATTTATTGCTGATTCAATAAACATGTGTAAACCCCAGAGATATGGAGGAGTGACTGTCTATTTATAGTAGTATGAAAGATGATGTGTTGATACGTGTCCCTGTGGAGATGAGACTAACAAGGCCTATGACTCTACAAATGTTTCATCGTGGAATGACTCTGCCAGCTTTCCAGATCTGCAGAGAGTAAGAATATCACTTGTTCATCTGATTCACCATCCTTGGAACCTCCTATGTGCTGCATCTTTGGATGGAAATTGGAGTCTCAGAGACAATTCAGGCTCCACCCTGCTTCCAGAAGCTCAGAGTCCAGGGGTGAGAACCCAGCGGAGAACAGATGGGGTTATGTGGACGTGGTAATGATAACACCGGAAGCCTTAGGCAAGAAAAGAGTCCCATTGACGAAACCATGAGGGCAGACATGTTTACTTGAAGAAGAGAAAACTACATTGAAATTATAAAAAAAATTTATAAGTTTTACTGCTGACAGAAGGCTGAAAGATACTCTGAGGAAAGGTGGAATAGCACGTATCTAAGTGCCGTGTTAAGAGGGAGCCTCTTATATGTTTGGAATTGTGAGTTCCTCAGTGTGATCGCAGCCTCAAGTAGACTAGGAAGTAAGCCAGTTAGGTTGGAGAGGTGGGCAGGGGTCAAGTGAAATGGAGAATTGTGGGCTAAGCAAGTGTGTTTTCTCTCCAGCAGGCAGTGGGGACCTTAGACATTTGTAAGCAAGAGAGAGGCATGTTCAGATTCGTGGTGTGAGGAAGAGCGATGCCCTAAGATGCAGACTCACGCCTTCAGAGTCCAGCTGCTGGTACATGGGAGCTGGCAACCCGGTTTTGAGACAGGGCTATTGTCTCCCTAGAAGATCCCATCAAGGCCTGACTGTGGTGCTAGTGGACAGAAGACAACTTTGGATCTGCGCTCAGCATTTGGAAGTTCCGTGTTACACGCTGGTATCTGTTGGGGGTGTCTTGGGCCTCTGAGAAGGGCGAGTGATTTTTCTCTGTGTGAAAACGCAGTGATTCAACTGTGCGTATGTCACCTCCTGAGGGTCTTGTTCATCAGAGTCCTGGAGGGAGGGAAATGCTGAGTGAGGGAGGGTGCTCACATTTTCCAGGACTCTTTGGGAATAAGACTAGCCACGAGGCTGGGCGGAGGAGCACCTACCTCCCTGTTCACTGTTCTGTTCCCTGCAGGCTCTTGGTCCATTACAACAGCATCTGTAGAAGACGGAAGTCGTCAAAACAGCTCGGAGGGCACTTCTGGGTCCTCATTTCATAAGCAGATACCAACATACAGGGGGAGGCCATAGGTGCCTGAGGTCCCTCAGTTGCCAACAGCAGACTCAGACATTCTATCTCTCTGAGCTCAAGGATCCATCCCATGTATAGCTCTGAGTTCCCATCCTATTGATTCTGTGTCCCACTTTCTGCCTGTCATGGAACCTTCTCCTGGATGTGAGTGGCTGCAGGGGATGTGAGGATACGGTTCAGAATCAGGCAATGGTCTGTGAGCTGAAGGCAGAGGCAGGGAGTCTGGTGCTCTCTCTAGAAAGTCCTGCCTCTGTGGCTCCTGCCTTGGGCCAGGGACCATCCTGCCTGTGAGGAACACACACCTGAGTGCTCCCATCCTGCTTCCCCACATGGCCCTGAGCTCTCTGGCTTCTGCTTCGTGAGACTTACTCTTTTTGTTGGCACACCAGCGATGAAGGAGAAAGAAGAGGAGGATAGCAAAGGGGATGATGACCACTGAGGTCCCAATCAGAACATGCAGGTGTCTGGAGTTACCTGGAGGAAGACAAGACACCAATAAGAAGCTAATCATAGCAGTTCCTCTATATGAATTGTCTCACATTTCTTGATTGACAGGTAACCACATACAACGTCTCTTTAGGACAAGCACCCAGATGGCGGGAGACCTAGCTTCCTCCTGCTTTCTCAGTTGTAGTAACCATAGAACGTGCTGAGGATACAACTGCTTTAGTTTAGATGTTTGACCCCTTCAAACCTCACATTGAAATGTAACCCCCAGGGTGGGAGGTTGGGCCTCTTGGGAGTTGTTTGGGTCATGGAGGTGGATCCATCATGAACAGATCAATGCTGTTCCAAGGAGACGGGGTTAGCAAGTTCCCCCTCTATTAGTTCCTGGAGAACTGGTTGTTAAAAGAGCTTGGAAGCTCCATCGCTCCCCCTCCCCCTTGGTCCCTCTCTTGCCGTGTGATCTCTGTGGTCTCTGCACAGACAGACCCTCCTTCCCTTCTGCCAGAGTGGGAGCAGCCTGAGGCCGTCACAAGAAATAGATGCTGGTGCCATGCTTCCAGTACAGCCTGCAGAACTGTGAGGCAAACACATTTCTTTTCTTTAGAAGTTACCCAGGCTCAAGTGTTCCTTTAGAGCAACAAAAATGGACTAAGACAGCAACGTCCTGAGATCAGGAGGAACATCCCAGAACAGCCTGGGCTGTCTTCCTGTTCTTCCTGGAGGAGGACGTCATGCAGTGCTTTAGCTGAGTGCTTCCTGTGGCTCCAGGGTACAAAACCCAGGCTGGGCTGCTTTTTGATTTCCCCCAGATACACTGCATATGGGGTGACTCCACATGTCTCGAGCAGCTTTTCTGAGCCTTGAGGGACTGGCTCACATTGAAATGTAGGTTTCTGTTGTCACTCGCTGCTTATCTGTTAGTAATGAACCTGCCTGTGTAATGTGTTCTCTGTGTGTTCTGTCTCCCTGGAGTGACGGTGAGTGATAGGAATTGGTATAGGCCCAGGTGCATTCCAGGAGGTGTTTAGAATCTTCTCTGGGAAGACTGGATTGGGATTGATACACAGCGAATGTGCTTTACAGTTTCTACCACCACAACCCTCTTGACTCAAAAAAAATTACATTCTCCAAGAAAAGAAAGAAAAAATGAAATCAAGATAAAAAAAGTGAAGTAGAACTGACTTAAATCAAACAGCCATGAAATAATGATGTAGCCCAGGAACAACATGCTACTTTTTGTGATCTGCTGAGACATATATTAGGCTGCTATTCCACCCGAGAAGCACGGGGAAGGACCGCCCTCTCCGTCGTTTATTGTTTCAATACAGCCTGTCCTTCTGTGAGTTAGTACGAAATGTGACCAGGGGCTAGTGCTGGCACTGGTCTCTGAGTCCAAGATCTGAGCTCACTCCAAAGAGTATTAGTGTTTACCTCCCCATGATCTATCTGTATCTCCATAGGTGATTGGAAGTAGAGATGAATTGGGGGATTTGGGTGAAGTGGCAAGTTTTATGCCATGAACAGAGCACGTTCTCTATTCCAGGACCTGTGCTGGTGGGTTCAGGAGGCTTTCACATTTTCCATATGATCCCAAGCTCACAGAAAGCCAAATAAGGAAGAGGTTTAACCTGATTGTTTAATGGATAAGATAAAGGGTCAAAGAATTAAATACAGAGAAATAGAAAAATGATGGTTGGTATCCAGTTGCCTTTGTAATTTCTGTGTGTCATATTATAATTATGTATGTTTTATTTTTATTTTTTGAGACAGAGTCCCCCTGTGTCAGGCTGGAGTGCAGTGATGCGATCTCAGTTCAACCTCTGCCTCCAGGGTTGAAGCCATTCTTCTGCTTCAGCCTCCCCAGTCGCTGGGATTACAGGCAGGTGCCAATGCACCAGGCTAATTTTTGTATTTTTAGTACAGACGGGGTTTCACCATGTTGGCCAGGCTGGTCTCAAACTCCTACCCTTAAGTGATCTACCCGCCTTGGCCTCCCAAAGTGTTGGGTTACAGGTGTGAGCCCCCATCCACAGTCTTGTATATTATATTATACTAGGTCCCTTCATTTGCACCACCCCTCATGTGTCTATCGCTCCTCTGCCAGGTATTGATTTAGATGTAGAAAAAAAACACATCTCAGAAAGAAATTAATGAAACAAGGATTAAACTACTAGGAAAAATCAAACCCAGCAAGCCCTCCCTGCAAATGATTCTACCTCACAAGCATAGCTTATATCCATCTTTCATTCATTTAGTGTGTAAATCAACCCTACGTTTCACCAGTGGGGCGGGAATTGCCTTTTCCACGGTCTCCTAGATTCCAGTTACGCACCTGGGCCTCCCTTATTTTCATGTCGGTCACTGTTAATCAGGTAGGGATTCCTAGTTAGCTCTGAGTTGAATCCAAGGGCTGTGAGTATCAAAAACATGCTCCTTGTTCCTCCTTAGTTTCCTGTGTACCCAGTGTGCTCTCCATCTCTCTACAGTTGTCTTGTCATTCTCCCCATCTCATTCCCAGCATTTGAGGCAGAGCCTCTTCCTTGAACTAAGAATGTTTCCACCTTTGTGCCTTCACGGCTGAGAGCTCAGTGTGGAAAATCCTTCCGCCAATCTTCCAAGGGTTGAATCCATTTTTTCCATTAAGGTCACAAATATTATCTGATCAGTGAGACCTTCTCTGTCACCTGAAATTATATACTCAGCATTATCTATTACTTATTTTAAATCCTGGCTGGGCGCAGTAGCTCTCGCCTGTAATCTTTGCACTTAGGGACGCTAAGGCGGTGGGATCACTTGAGATTGGGAGTTTGAGACAGCCTGCACAACATGGTGAAACCTCATTTCTACTAAAAAATATACCAAAAAAATTAGCCGAGTGTGGTGGCGCACAGCTGTAATCCCAGCTACTCGGTAGGCTGAGGCAGGAGAATTGCATGAACCCAGGAGGCAGAGGTTGCAATGAGCTGAGATTGTGCTACTGCACTCCAGCCTGTGGAACAGAGAGAGACTCTACTCAAAAAAAAAAAAGAAAACAAAAAAAACACACACACACAAAAAACCCCAGATTTGGTGCACAGATGCTTCCCAATGGATCATTCATTTATTGGTACCCTTGTGCATTCATTCTCTGCCCTCGCATTTACCCATCTGCAATATCAGCGTCCCAAGAGCAGAGGCCAAATGCATCCTGTTTACCATTTGTGGAAGGCAGGAGAATGCTGCCCCACCCCCAAAATGTCCCTGTCTTAGCCTCCATAGCTTGTGAATATGTTATTTTACAGGAAAGGAGGAATGAAGATTGCAGATGGCATTACGGTTGCTAATCAGCTGAACTTAAAAAGAGGGTACGCTGGATGATTTTAGGGAGATTGAGATGGATTATCTTGGTGACCCCAATAGAATCCCAAAGTCCTTAAAAGATGAGGAAGAAGGCAGAGCAGGATTCAGAGAAAAAGGTATGGGTAAAGAAGAAGAGTCTGAATGATGCCATGTGAGACGTGACCAGCCTTTGTGGGCTTTGAGGAAGGAGGAAGAAGGAAGGGGACCAGGGGCCCAGGAACGTGGGAGCCTCTAGGAGCTGGGAAACGTTAAGGAGCAGATTCTTGCTTGGAACCTTAAAAAGAAATCCAGCCTTACTGTCCCTTTGATATCAGCCCAGTGAAATGCAGTTCATACTTCTGAGTTACAGCACTGTGAGATAATTAAGAAAAACATGTTTTCATCCACGAAGCTTGTGGAAATTTGTTATGGCAACAATAGGAAAAGATTCCACACTGCACAGCCAGAGCATGGGGCATTGGCTGAACGAGTGAGTGAGTGGAAGTGTCGTGTGCATAAATAAGCTAAATTCTCTCTTACTGCACGTCTCTTGCTCTGCTGAGTCAACCAGGGTTGCATCTGGTACACTGCTGATACGAATGTAAATTAGTACAGCCATTACAGAGGAGAAGAGTATGGAAGTTCCTCAAAAAATAAAATGAGGTCGGGCACAGTGGTTCATGCCTGTAATCCCAGCACATTGGGAGGCCGAGGTGGGTAGGTCACTTGAGGTCAGGAGTTGAAGAGCAGCCTGGCCAATATAGCGAAACTCTGTCTCTACTAAAAATATAAAAATTAGCCGAGTGTGGTGGTGGGAGCCAGTAACCCAGCTACTTGGGAGGCTGAGGCTGGGGAATCTCTTGAATCCTGGAGGTGGAGGTTGCAGTGAGCCCAGATGGCACCACTGCACTCCAGCCTGGGCAACAAGAGTGAAACTGTCTAAAAAAAACAAAAACAAAAACAAAAACCATAAAACAAAATGTAAAAAGACACTTCCAGAGGATCTAGCAATTCCATGACTGGGTGTAAACCCAAAGGAAAGGACATCAGCGTATCGAAGTGACATCTGCACTCCCATGACTGTTCCAGCAGTGTTCACAGTAGCCAAGATGTGGATCAACCTACCCGCCCATCAGTGGGTGAATGGATGGAGAGAATGTGGTACACACACACAATAGGGACAACTCATCCATAGAAAGAGTAACATCCTGTCATTTACAGCCACATGAATGGAACTGGAGGTCATTACAAGTATTTCCATTTCTCACTCATATGCAGGAGCTAAAAGGTGGATCTCACAAAGGTAGAGAGTAGAATGGTGGCTACCAGAGGCCAGGAAGGGAAGGGTGGAGGGTAAAAAAAAAAGAATACTAATTAATTAATTAATTAATTTTGAGAGAGTGTCTCTCTCTGTTGCCCAGGCTGCAGTGCAGTGGCATGATCTCAGCTCACTGCAACCTCCGCCTCCTGCAATTAAGTGCAACTCCTGCCCAACCCTCCCAAGTAGCTGGGACTACAGGCATGTGCCACCATGCTCGGCTAATTATTATCATTATTATTATTATTTTGTATTTTTAGTACAGATGGATTTTCCCCATGTTGGCCAGGGTGGTCTTGAGCCCCTGATCTCAAATGATCCACCTGCCTTGGCCTCTCAAAGTGTTGGGATTACAACAGTGAGCCACCGTGCCCAGCCTATAAATGTATTTATGAACAGTAGACTTCACACTTAAAAATGGTAAAGGTGGTAAATTACATAGGTATATTTCACCTCAATAAATATTTCTTCAAACAAAAAGAAAAGGGTGTAGGCGTTGCTGGTGATGACATCTCTCTGTGGGTGACAGGCCAGGATGGGCTTCTGGGAAGTGGGTAAGGTTGAGGGGCTGAGAGAACCTCTGATCTCCCCAGGCAGAGCCCAGTCTCCCTCCTCTGGGTCTGTTCTGACCTCTTTCTCCATCTGCCTGGGTGCCTGGAACCCTGATCAAGGGCCTCCTTGCAGGCCATACAGGAGGGTTTGGAGGTGCCCTGTCTGCCATCCTGCCCCCTGACCCCGCCCTTACACCCATGCTGTGTGTTCTGTCTCGGCATCTGTCCATGCTTCTCTCCATCATCAGCAGGAAGCTCCTCAGCTATGGCTCTAGGATCACAAGACATGGGACAGGCATGGTGTTTTCTCACCTGTGACAGAAACGGGCAGTGGGTCACTCGGGTCTGACCACGCGTGGGGCAGGGCACGGAAAGAGCCGAAGCATCTGTAGTTCCCTCCGTGGGTCACAGGGCCCAGAGGGAAGTTGGCCTGGAATGTTCCATTGACCCTCAGCACCGCAGTGAGCCTAAGTTCACCGGCCTCTGCCTCCCTGGATAGATGGTAAATGTCAAACAAGCTCCGGGAGCTGCAGGACAAGGTCACATTCTCTCCTGCCTGAACCGTGGGGCCCGGCTGGGCTGAGAGAGAAGGTTTCCCATATAGACCTGGAAGGAGAAGAGGTGGTTTCCTCAGGGAGGTTCTTCGTTGTCACAGCTCTCCTCACACCTGAGCTGAGAACTCACTCCCCTGCTCTATGACTTAATGCTCTCTTTCTCTCTCTCACCCTCCACCCCCATCTCTCTTCATGTCTATTTCCTCCTTCCACCTTCTCTGTCTCTCTAGGTCTCTGACCTCACTTCTCCATCCCTAGCTATGTTTTCTTTTTTTGTACCATTTTATTCTCTCTGACCCTCCTTGGACTGGTTGACTTGATCTTCCTCTTTCTTTAATTCTGAGTCTCTCACTTTCTGTCTTGCTCATAACTTTCTGCATATTTCTATCTACTATCTATTGATCGATCTATCATTTATCTATGTATGTATCTATCATCTATCATCATCTGTGTATCTATGACCTATCTCTCTGTTATCTATCATCTATCAATCAATGTATGTATGTATGCATCTATCCATCTATCATCATGTGTTTATCTGTCTTTCTATCTCTCTATATCTATTTATATATCATCTGTCTGTCTTTCTACTTGTCTATCTATATCATCTATCAGTCATTCATCATCTATTTGTCTATCACCTGTCTCTCTATTATCTATCATCTACCTTTTATCTTTCATCTATCTATATCTATCTATCCATCTATCATCTGTCTCTCTCCATCTCCTTGTCTTTCTCTGCCTCTCAGTCTCTCTAGTTCCCTTTTGGAGTCTCTGCAATCCATCCCCACATCTTTATCTTTCCCTGTCTTTGTGCCCCTCCCTCAGGGCTCTGATTTTAGGGCTTTTCTCTGCTTCCTTCCATCATACGCTCCACTTCTCTGCCCTCTTTTTCTATCTCTTTATGTGTCTGTGAGTCTCTCAATTCCCTTCTTCTGGCTCATTCTGTGTGTGTGTTCATGTCTTTGCTTTTTGATTTCCCTGATTTCACTCCGTGTCTCTCTGTGGGCTTTTGTTCTCAGTAATCCTATAACATGTGGTGCTATTTGAATATGAGCCTCAGAATCCAGTATGGGGACTCCAGGAACTCACAACATACAGGGGTTGGTGTTCTGCTCCCTCACCTGGGGCCATGGTGTCCTGCGACGACGACAGCTCCACTGCACGGAAGGCAGAGGTTTAAGAATAAACACAGCATCTGTAGGTGCCACCAGCCTGGGGCCACACGGCCCAACTCAGGCCAGATAGATGTGTCTCTTTGGGTTCTCCTGGGAGAGAACACTTTGTAGAGGTAAAACAGAATGGAACCTTCTAACCTGTGCCTGGTCTCTGAACAAAGTCAGCATAGAAGGACACCTCTCTCTGGGATATATCTGTCTCTCTGTGTCTTCTTTACCTCTTTATCTCTTTTTCTAACACCTTGTATGGCCCCTGTGTCTGGCTTCTATGTTATGACATGAGGTCTGTACTTGTGTCTCCTGTTTCTCTGCCTTTGTTGGTACAGACCTCACCAAGTCACTTTCTCTCCATAGGAACCCCACACTCATCTTCCTCATGACCACCTGGGGCTTCCAGTCCTAGATCATTCACTCCATCTCCCAGCAAGGGTGAGAGGCAGGTCTGTATTCTCTCACCTACGACCACGATGTCCAGAGGGTCACTGGGAGCCGACAACTCATAGGGTAAGTGAGTGACAGAACCAAAGCATCTGTAGGTCCCTGCAAGGGCAGGTGTCATGGGACCCATGGAATAGTTGACCTGGGAACCCGCATCGTGGAGCTGTCCAACGAGGCGCAAGGGGTCCTCAGTGATCCCCTCTCTGTGCAGAAGGAAGCGCTCAAACCTGACATCTGACCAACATTGCAGGATGACCGTCTCTCCCGATTTCACCAGGGGACCTGGGTGGGCCAGGAGGGAAGGTTTTCTGTGGACTCCTAAGAAGAGAGGTTGTGAGTTCAGAAGGCGTCTCCCTTTCTCATCCCATTCATGGGACCTGAAATAAGTGAGGCTTCCCCTCCATGGTGTCTATCTCTCTCCTTCCTCTCTGTGTCTCCGTGTTCTTTTGTGCCCATAACCCCTGTTGCAGGTCCCTCCATCTGTCTCCCTCCCTCTTCCCTGTCTCTCTGTCTCTAGTAGCCCTGATTCCCTTCCCACTGTGCTCAGTGTCACCTCTTATGCTGTTGTATCTGTTTCCCACTAATCTCTTTCCTGGTGTTTATGTGGGGGTGGAAGAGGAACCACGACAGGCTGCATGTCCAGGCTCTTAGCAGCCTGAATCAATCTCTTTTGGACAGATTGGAAAGGCTGGCAGGAGGTACGAACTCATCAGTAAGGCAGGCATCAGTGTCCCTGTTCCTGATGGGGATTGGGAGCCTCTCCTGTCATGTCTGTGCCTTCTCCATGGCCCCAGCTTCCATAGGGTGGCCCCTGGTGCTGGTTCCAGGAGCATCAACCCCTCCCTATGTGGATCGAGCCTGGTGGTAGCATCAGTATCCCACCCATGCTAAAATCAGTGTAGCCAACCTTCTCCTTGTTTGGTTTCTTAACTTGTGCTTCACCTGGGTTCCTGTGTTGGTTTCCTGTTGCTGCTGGAGAAAATTGTCACAAACATGGGGCAGGAGAGAATACAATGACCCCTTCCACTTCTGGAGAACAGAAATCGGACCCAGTTCTCTCTGGGCTAAAATCAAGGCATCTACAGGGCTGTGTTTCCTCTGGAGACTCAGGGAAGAATCAGTTCCCTTGACTTCTCCAGCCCTTAGAGGCCAACTGCCTTTGTGGCTCATGGCCTTCCCCCATCTTCAAAGCCCGCTGTGGCTGATGGAGTCTCCCTCCCACGACGTTGCTCTAACCCCACTTTCCTCTTCCTCCTCCTCTCATGAGGACCCTTGTGATTACTCTGAGCACAGCAGGACAGTCCAGGCTGTCTCCCCATCGCAAGGTCAACTCATCAACAACCTGAGCTCCATCTTCCCCTTCAGTCCCCTGCCCTATGACATAAATAGTCACAGGGTTCATGGATTACCATGTAGCCATCACTGGGGACAATTATTCTTCCCACCACAGCAACTATTTCTCTGTACTGAATCCCCCTTTACCCCAAATACAGTCTGGGCCTGGATGATTGGACCCTGATGGACGCCCCCACCAGAAGCTCTGGGATTCAGGAGGTGGGACAGTGAGAAGCCCAGACAGAAAGCCTCTGACCTGTGACCATGATCACCACAGGGTTGCTGGGTGCCGACCACCCAGTGGGGGAGTGTGGGTGTGAACTGCAACATCTGTAGGTCCCTGCATGTGCTGGGGTCACAGGGCCCATGAGAAAGCTGTTCCGGAATATTCTGTTGTAGAGCTCAGGGACAGGCATCCCGTCTTCTTTGGACAGACTGAATTCGTTAAACCCAAGATGAGAGCGACACTGAAGAGTCACATGTTGTCCTTCAGACACCACAGTGCCGGGCCAGGCAGAGAGGAAGGGCTTGTCCTGACCACCTGGGGGAGAAGGAGGCACTACCTTAGAGAGGAGGATGTGGAGCCGCCCCTCCCTCCCTGTGCTCAGAAGATTCTCCCATTTCCACGTTTCTAAGGCTCCTACCACACCTGGGTGCCCAGGGCTACAGGAAGGACCCATCCCGCATAGACATGGCGTCTCCCTACAGCAAGTGTCAGCTGAGAACTTTGAGCAGGTGCTGAAGAAGCGACTCTTACTAGATTTTAACACTGCAAAATTACTTACATAAAAGAACACAAGGTAGACACAGGATGGAGGGCATGATCAGCTAATGCATGAACCATAATAAACAACTGAGCCCCTATTAGAAGATCTGGAATGTCAGGGTCATGACTGTGGTTCCCCCACCTCTTAGGTAGAATGACAGCAGCCACATTGCAGCCCCTACCGTCATGGAAACGCTGGAGGGTGTGAGTTATGCTCTTGTCCTCAGAGGCCTGTTGTTCCTTGCACTGCTTCTCTCCCTTCCTCTGCCGGTGACACCACTTCCTCCCTGCACACCACTCCTTTGAGCACTTCAGTCTCCCCCTGGGTCCCCACAGACTCAGCCAAGGGAAAGAAAGGCCGGGGAGGGCTAGGACAGAACTGTGGCGAAGCTTCCCCTGGCTTCCTTTTCCTAGTTCATGAGAGATTCCCACATGGCTTCCCATGGTCAGCCCATCAGTCAACCCCCTGTGTCGCCTGCCTCCCGTTTCAGGAACATCATCTTATGTGGGGAGATGACAACCTAAGGTTTGGGGGAAGGACTCACCCACATGTGGCCAGGGCCCCTCCAGCAAGAAGAACCCTGGAAAGAAAGATCATGATGGATGATCCATCTGTACATCACCTCCAGGCCCATATCTCCACTCCAGGCCCATATCTCCACCTCCGTCCTATATCTCTACTCCAGGCCCATATCTCCACTCCAGGCCTATATCTCCACCTCTGTCCTATATCTCTACTCCAGGCCCATATCTACACTCCAGGCCCATATCTCCACCTCCAGGCCTGTATCTCCACCTCCAGGCCCGTGTCTCCATTCCAGGCCCATATCTGCACTCCAAGCCAACATCTCCACTCCA
Organism: Homo sapiens; assembly: GCF_000001405.40. Classification (NCBI taxonomy): domain Eukaryota; kingdom Metazoa; phylum Chordata; class Mammalia; order Primates; family Hominidae; genus Homo; species Homo sapiens. The sequence goes on from NT_187669.1 coordinate 144,108, forward strand.
GGCCCATATCTCTACTCCAGGCCCATATCTACAGTTCCAGGCCCATATCTCCACCTCCAGGCCCATATCTCCACTCTAGGCCCATATCTCCACCTCCAGGCCCGTATCTCAATTCCAGGTCCATATCTGCACTCCAAGCCAATATCTCCACTCCAGGCCCATATCTACAGTTCCAGGCCCATATCTCTACTCCAGGCCCATATCTCTACTTCAGGCCCATATCTACAGTTCCAGGCCCATATCTCCACTCCAGGCCCATATCTCCACCCCAGGCCCATATCTCCACTCCAGGCCTATATCTCCACTCCAGGCCCATATCTCCACTCCAGGCCCATATCTCCACTCCAGGCCCAGATCTCCACCCCACCGCTCCCTCCCTCGATTCCCTTCCAGGACTCACCAACACACGCCATGCTGACGACCATGAGCGACATGGTGCTGCCGGTGCAGACAGGCGGCTGCGCCCCAGCTCAGTTCAGCAGCACACAGGATGTTGTGAGGGGCTCATGCAGTTTACATGCTGACCACATCATGGGAGGATGACGTATGCAGGCTATTTCTACCTTGCATGAGGCCCAGTGGCTGTTTGGTCAAGAGCAGAACATGGCTTCCTGGAAATTGTTCCAACTAGAATTGACACCTTGCATCCTTCACTATAACCAACTCAAAACACGTCTCAGATCCAATCTCTCATACAGGAGATGACTGAATGCTTGGCTTACATTAAAGACTTTTGATGTATTTTTGTTGTTTTTATCTGAGATTCAAACTCTTCTTCATGTGCTATTTTCCCCAGGCTGTTCTTTGACTTCAGAGTTCAAGCAATCCTCCTGCCCCAGCATTTCTAGCAGCTGGCAGTATGTCACAATCTGCCACACCCAAGTCACAACTTTTAGAACTTTTTTTTTTTTTGAGACGCAATCTCACTTCGTCACCCAGTTTGGAATGCAGTGGTGAGACCTCGGCTCATTGCAGCCTCCACCTCCCAGGTTCACGCAATTCTCGTGCCTCAGCCTCCTAAGTAGCTGGATTTACAGGCACCCACCACCACGCCCACCTAATTTTTGTACTTTTAGTAGAGAGGAGGTTTCTCCATGTTGGCCAGGCTGGTCTTGAACTCCTAACCTCAAGTGATCTGTCTACTTCAGCCTCCCAAAGTGCTGAGATTACAGGTGTGAGCCACCATGCCTGGCCGGGACATTCTATATGTGTGCGTATGTGTGCATTTATATACATATGGTTATACACACACACACACACACACACACACACCCTAAGCACTCACATATATAGTTGTTTCAAATTTTAAAAAATATAAATTTTGTATTTTTCTTTCTTTTTCTCACATTTGTGTTTCTATGACACCATATACATATTGAATTTTATAGCTCTATTTTATTCTTTTGGATTGCAGTTTAATAGTCCATGCATAACTTTATCAACATGTAATTATCCATTCTTTTTATCATGGACATTTGTGTTGTTTCCGGATTTTCTCTTTTATAACTCGGGCCTTGATAATCGTGTTTCTGTGTGATCCCTTGCATACATATGCTGAATTAATTAGACATATTTACCTAGAAATGAAATTATTGGTTTTGGGTGCAAGTTGGTGTTGAGCTTAACCAGGAAGTGCCAAAATATTTCCATCATGACCAAATGTGGCCTGGAAAGTTTTTTGGGGTCAATTTTCCTGTTTCTTCTAAGGAACAAAATTGATGTCACTGATTTTTCTGTCCTGTTTGTCATTTATGAATGTATGTACATATGCACGTATATATTTGCTTGCCATTTTATGTTTTTCCTCGACGTTACTTTGGAATTAATTTGCTGATGTGTAGTATTTCTGCAAGTGAAAGTTACCTATTTACTCAGCTCTTCCTTCTTTTCTAACACAGACATTTGAGGCTTATTGTCCCTTAACGCTGTTCTATCTGTATCCCCAGTCATTTGCCGAGATGTGTTTTCATTTTTAATTGATACAAAATATTTTCCACCTTTCTTTGAAATGTTTTTCTTCCACTCATTGTTTATTGCTATGTGTGTTTATTAATTTTAAAATATTTGATAATTTCCCCAGCATTTCCTTGTTGTACATTTATAATTTAATTCAACTGTTTCATCTATCATATTACCTATGATTCAGCATTTAAAAATTTATTTTGGTGAATGTTCCAGGGGTGCTAGACAAGTTTGTGGATTAGGAAGATTTGAGGTGGATGCTTTCTAAATGTCAGTTAAGAAAAAAATCATTCAAATGTTTTTCTTTATTTAAAAAAAATAGAGACGGGGTCTCACTATGGTGCCCAGGCTGGTCTCAAACTCCTGGCCTCAAGTGATCCTCCCATTTTGGCCTCCCAAAGTGCTAGGATTATTGAAATTATTAAATGTTTCATATCAACACCCAACCTTATGCACCCGCCGCCTACACAAATGTTTTTCAAGTCTTTCATATGCTTAATAATTTTCTGTGTACTTGTTCTGGAAGTGAGGTGAATGTTGCTATCTCTAGCTGCAATTTGGATGTGATTGATTATGTTTTGAATTATGCCTTTAATTTAATGTGTTTTGAGGTTCCAGCTTTAGGTGTGTAGGCATTTAGGATGATTATGTCTTATTTATGAATTTGCCTCTTTGTCATTATGAAGTACTCCTCTTCATATCTCCATATATCTCTTCTTTGTATGTGCATGGTGAAATATTTCATTCTTTGAGTTAAGAAACTTCTATTGAGGAATACTTTTTATTACAAACATTTACCTATTCTATGTATACAACTGACTAGAAGCATATTTTGCACTGGGCATTATCATGACAAGGTAATGTCATTCTTTCAATATTTACATCTTGTGGATTAGTATTTGAAGTGCAGCTTATGTAGACAGCATAAGGTTGGGTGTTGATATGAAACATTTAATAATTGCACACGTATTTGCCTCTTGGGATACTTCCACTTTTTTGAATTTCAAGTTACTAAATGGTATCATTAATCTTTGCTTCAAGAGCTTAACATTTATTGTAGAACAATGCTTCATGTAATAAATTGTGAGACATTTTTAATGGCACCTTTATTGCAGGAAAATGTTTTCCTTTTCAGGTTGAAAGATTCTAGTTTGAAATATTTTCTTGTAGCACTTTAAAAATGTTGGTCCACCTGTTTCTTACTTTCATAGTTTTGAATACAAAGTTTGCTGTCATTCTTGTATTTCTTCTTCTGTTTTTTATTTATTTATTTTTGACAGAATATCTTGCCGTCTCACCCAGGCTGGAGTGCAGTGGCATGATCTTGGCTCACTGCAACCTCTGCCTTCCAGGTTTCAGCAATTCCTGCCTCAGCCTCCTGAGTAGCTGGGACTACAGGCATGCGCCACCATACCCAGCCAATTTTTTTTTTTGTATTTTTTTTTTGTAGAGATGAAGTTTTGCCATATTGGCCAGAACTCCTGACCTCAAATGATCCACCTGCTTTGGCCTCCCAAAGTGCTGGGATTACAGGTGTGAGCCACTGTGCTCAGGCTATTTATTCCTTTTTATATAATATGAATTCACATTCATACATACCAGGGGTTAGGATTTCAACAAACGTTTCTGGGGGAGACCACTCAAAACACAGCACTCATCCTTGGTTATTTCCAGCCATGGAGCCTGTATCAATATCCTGGTGAATTATCTAAGCTGTCCACCTACCTACCCCAAATCCTCATGGTCACATAAAAGGCTAGTATAGTATAATAATTTTTCTTTCCCTGCTTATCTACAGTGATGAAGAAACGAATATTCAAAGGGAAAAATCTTAGCTTTAGGTATAGGGTAATTCTTCTTCCTATTTTTAAATAACTTCAACCTTTACTGTAGATTAAAGGTATGCATGCAGGTTTGTTACATAGGCATATTGTGTGACTCTGAGGTTTGTGGTTCCAACAATGCCATCACCCAGGCAATGAGCATAGAATCCAACAGGTGTTTCTTCAGCCTATACCTCCCTACTCCTCCCCCCATCTGTAGTCCTCGGTATCTGTTGTTTCCATCTTTATGTTCATGTGTATTCAATGTTTGGTTCTCAGTTATAAGTGATAACATGTGGTATTTGGTTTTCTGTTCCTGGGTTAGTTCACTTAGGAGATTGACCTCCTGCTACATTCATGTTGCTGCAAAGGACATGATTTCATTATTTTTTATGGCCATGTAATGTTCCATGTGTATATGTAGCACATTTTCTTTAACTAATCCACTGTTGGTGAGCACTTAGGTTGACTGCAAATCTTTGCTATTCTGAATTGCACAGCAATGAATATACTAGTGCATGTGTCTTTTTGACATAGTTAATTACCTTCCTTTTGGTATATACCCAGTAGTGGGATTGCTTGATTGAATAGTAGTTCTATTTTAAGTTATTTGAGAAGTCTCCAAACTGCTTATCACATTGGCTGAACTAGTTAACATTCCCACCAAGAGTGTATAAGTGTTCCCTTTTCTCCACAATCTTGTCAGCATCTGTTATTAAAAAAAACAAAAAACTTTTTAGTAATTGCTTCTGCTTCTCTGATTGTTGTGAGATGGTATCTCACTGTGGTTTTAATTTGCATTTCTCTGATGATTACTGATAATAAGCATTTGTTCATATGTTTTTTGGCCATGTGTACATCTTCTTTTGAGAAGTGTCTGTTCATGTCATACTTAATTGAGGTTTTTTGGTTTTCTGCTTGTTGATTTGTTTACATTCCTTATAGATTCTGGATATTAGAACTTTGTCAGATGCATAGTTTGCAAATATTTTCTCCCAGTCTGTAGGTTATCTGTTTACTCTGTTGATACTTTCGTTTGCTGTGCAGAAGCTCTTCAGTTGAGTTAGGTCCCAATTTCTGTCTTTGTCACAATTGGTTTTGGGGAGTTAGCCATAAATTCTTTGCCAAAGTCTATCTTGAGAAGGATATTTCCTAGGTTTTCTTCTAGAATTTTAATATTTTGAGGTTTTACATTTAAATCTTTAAACTATCTTGGGTTAATTTTTGTATATAGTGAGAGTTAGGGGTCCAGTTCTATTATTTTGCATATGAGTAGTCAGTTATCCCAGAACTATTTATTGAAGAAAGGGTACTTTCCACATTGCTTGTTTTTGTCAATTTTTTCAAAGATGATTGTAGGTATGTAGCCTCATTTCTGGGTTCTCTATTCTGTCTCATTGGTCTATGTGTCTGTTTTTGTAGTAGTATCATGCTGTTTGGGTTACTATAGCATTGTAGTATAGTTTGAAGTTGGGTAATGTGATGCCTGGGCTTTGTTCTTTGTGCTTAGGATTCCTATGTGTATTCAGGCTCTTTTTTTGGTGCCAAATACATTTTAGAATAAATTTTTATAATTTCGTGAAAAATGACATTGCATTTTGAAATGGATAGCATTGACTCTGCAATTTGTTTTTGGAAGTATGGCGATTTTAACTATTTGTTCTCCTAATTCATGAGCATGGAATATTCTTCCATTTGTTTGTATCATTTCTTATTTCTTTCAGAAGTGTTTTGTAGTTCTCCTTGTAGAGAATTTTCACCTTCTTGGTTAGATGGATTCCTAGGTATTTTATTTTCTTTGTGGCTAGTGTAAATGGAATTGTGTTCTTGATTTAGTTCTCAGCTAGAATGTTAGTGGTGCATAGAAATGTTACTAATTTGTGTACATTTTTTTAATCCCGAAACTTTATTGAATTTGTTTATCAGTTTCAGGAGCCTTCTGACAGAGTCTTTAGGGTTTTCTATGTATAAAATTATTTCATCAGCAAAGAGAGACAGTATCACTACTTCTTTTCCAATTTTAATGCCTTTTATTTCCTTCTCTTGCCTGATTGCTTTGGCTAGGACTTCCAGTACCATGTTGAATTAAAATGGCGGGAGTGGTCATCCTGGTCTTGTTTCGGTTCTCAAGGGGTATGGTTCCAGCTTTTGCCCATCAATATGATGTTGGCTGTGGGTTTGTCATAGATGGCTCTTAATATTTTGAGGTATGTTCCTTTGATGCCTATTGACAGTTTTTATCATGAAGGGATGTTGGATTTTACAGAAAGCTTTTTTTGCATCTATTGAGATGATCATATAGTTTTTGTTTTTAATTATGTTTATGAGGTGAATCACATTCGTTGACTTTGTAGGTTGAACCAACCTTGCATCCCAAAAATAAAGCTTACTTGATCATGTGAATTAACTTTTGATGCACTGACAGATTCAATTTGCTAGCATTTTGTTGAGGATTTTATGTCTATGTTCATTAAGGATATTTAGTTGTAGTTTTCTTTTTTTCATTATGTCTCTGACAGATGTTGGTATCATGGTGATGATGGCTTCATAGAATGAGTTAGGAAGAAGCCCCCACTCCTTGATTTTTTCCAAAAGTTTCAGTAAGATCGGTATCAGTTCTTCTTTGTATGGCTGTTGGATTTTGGCTGTGAATCCGTCTGGTCCTGGGCTATTTTTAGTTAGTAGGGTTTTTATTACTGATTAAATTTCTGAACTTGTTATTGGTCTGTTCAGGTTTTCACTTTCTTCCTGGTTGAAATATGATAAATTTTGTGTTACCAGGAATTTATCCATTTCTTCTAGGTTTTCTAGCTTGTTTGTATAGAGGTGTTCATAATAGTCTTTGACGATCTTTTCTATTTCTGTGGGATTGTTCGTAACATTGTTTTGTCAGTTCTATTTGTGTTTATTTGGATCTTTTCTCTTTTTCTTTGTTAATCTAGCTAACAGTCTATGAATTTTGTTTATTTTTTTTCAAAGAAAAACTCTTGGTTTTATTTATCTCTTGTATGGACTTTTTGGTCTCAATTTATTCAGTTCTCTCTGACTTTAGTTATTTCTCATCTTTTGCTGGCCTTGGGTTTGGACTGTTCCTTTTTTTTAATAGTTCCTCTAGATGCAGTGTTAAGTCACTAATTTGAGATCTTTCTAAACTTCTGATGAGGCATGTATTGCTATAAATTTTCCTCTTATCACTGCTTTAACTGCATCCCAAAGGTTTTGGTAAGTTTGTTTCTATTTTTATTAATTTTAAATAATGTTTTGTGATTTCTGCTTTAATTTCATTGTTCACCCAAGAGTTCTCAAGGGGTACAGTTCCAGCTTTTGACCATTCAATATGATGTTGGCTGTGGATTTGTCATAGATGGCTCTTAATATTCATTCAGAAACAAGTTGTTAAATTTCCATGTTTTTCTGTAGTTTTGAGAGATCATCTTGGTATTTTTTTCTATTTTTATTGTGTGCCTTGTTATGATTTTGATTCTTTGAATTTATTGAGACTTGCTTTGTGGCCAGTCTTAGAATATGATATGTTTTTTGTGTGTGCAGATAAGAAGAATCTATATTCTGCAGTTGTTGGGTGGAGTACTCTGTAGATGTCTATGAGGTCCAATTGGTCAAGTGTTGTCTTTAAGACCAGAATTTCTTTGTTAGTTTTCTGTTTTAGTGATTCATCTGACGTTGTTAGTGGGATACTGAAGTCCCTTACTATTATTGTGTGGCTGTCTAACTCTTTTCATAGGTGAAGAATAACTTGTTTTATGAATCGGGGTGCTCCAAATTTGGGTGCATATATATTTAGAATAGTTAAGTCTTCTGTCAAATTGAACCCTTTATCATTTTGTAATGCCCTTCTTTGTCCTTCCTGATTGCTGTTGATTTAAAGTGTGTTTCATGTGATATAAGAATAGGAATGCCTTCCTTTTTTTTGTTTCCTGGTTGCCTAGTAAATATTTCTTCATCCTTTTACTTTGAGCCTGTGGGTGTCATTACATGTGAGATGGGTCTCTTGAAGACAGCAGGCAGTTGGCTCTTGGCTTTTTATCCACGTTGCCACTCTATGCCTTTTATGTGGGGAATTTAGGCCATTTACATTTCTTCTCCTGATATATCCTTTTTATATTTTTATGATTGCCTTTTAAAATATATTGAATGGTTGTAATTCCAGGGAAATGTCTTTCAGAACAGTATTTATTCCTATCTACATGTTTTGGAGAGTGCACTAGGGGACATTGAAGTTTATTTCCTGAAAAGAGTTTAATTTTAAAATGTATTTTATTTAATAACTCAATGATTCAGGGAATGTCTAGGTATTTCAGAGATTGTTTTAGACAGTTTGTTTTCTTGTGATATGTGACCACTTCATCTAAGCTGAATAATGTCTTCATAATGTCCACTTAGAATCTTTTGAATTCTGTAGGATCTGTACTGATGTCATTGTTTCCTTTCTGATATTGGTAATTTTCCTGGGGTAGGATTCTTAGCTCCTCCTGAGGTCCTGCCTCTAAAATTCAGGGAACAATGAGTCAGATTAGTACTCTGATTTCAAAGGGAAAGCTGATCATCTACCATTTTTTGTTTATGTAAATGGACACATTAACATCCCTTGTCTGAACCTTAGTTACCTTGTTTGGAGCATTTTGCTATAAATCTCACTTCTCAGAGTGGTTGTGGGGCTTGATGTGGCTGGGGTATGGGATGGCTTAAACATAATTTATTTCCAGACCAGGTTAAGGCATGAAGGGGTTGGGACTTGTTAGAATCCTGTTGTCGGACTCCACAGTAAGGGTAGACATTTGAGGCACCCAATCAAAAACCTCAGTTGTTCCTAGCACTGAGAAATTTGATAGAATGTTTCTAAAACATTATTCATGGTCTAATGCACAAAAAGTAAAGTGATAGCCCTGGAAGTAGACAGGGAACCATAAGAAAAAAGAGAGAGCAAAGCTCAGTGGTCACCAGTGCCTGGGACCATCAAGGGGTTATTAAGGAGGAAGTTTCCACCTCTGTGGGGAACAGAAGAGGCTCCCTAGGGTCCACACACACAGGGAGTGAGCCAAGACTCTGGGCGAGGCTGGAAGCTCTGGGTCTCCTTCTGTGAGATTTTCTTTTTTTTTTTTGAGATGGAGTCTTGCTCTGCCACCCAGGCTAGAGTGCAACGGCGTGATCTCGGCTCATGGCAACCTCTGCATAAAGTGGTATGTATTTAAGGCATGCATTAGACAAATTACTAAGTATTTACTAGATAAGAAAAAATTATATCTGAATCTTTTCAAATTGCCGTCTTATGCATTATATTCTCTTTTTATAGTGCAATTTCTTAATAGTTAATGCCAGAAGATTTTTTTTTCTTCCTTTCTTTCTTTCTTTTTTTTTTTTTTTGAGACAGAGTCTCACTCTGTTGCCAGGCTGGAGTGCAGTGGCACGATCTCGGCTCACTGCAACCTCCGTCTCTCGGGTTCACGCCATTCTCCCGCCTCAGCCTCCTGAGAAGCTGGGACTACAGGCACCCTCTACCATGCCCAGCTAATTTTTTTTTTTTTTGTATTTTTAGTAGAGACGGGGTTTCACCATGTTCGCCAGGATGATCTCTGTCTCTTGAACTCGTGATCCACCTGCCTTGGCTTCCCAAAGTGCTGGGATTACAGGCATGAGCCACTGCACCTGGTCGCCAAAAGATATTTTTAAAAACCTAAATGCCACTTGAAATGAATAAGACCCTCAATAATTCATGGGATATACATGTGAACTTATGACATATGATGAAATAAGCAGGTTACAAAATTGTAATATATCAAGCAAGGTAGAAAGCCATGGCAGAAAAAGAGACAAGCATTTTCAAGATAAGGAATGAAAGAGGGGAAACAGTACTATTGATTTTACAGATTTTACAAAGATATCTTAGGTGTGTTTTCCTAAATAATAAATGTACCCTCCTTTTGACCTTTATGTAATGAAATAACCATGCACACATTTTCAAATAATACTTCATTTACTTGACTTTATGCTTGAAAATTGAAGTATGGTGCTGTTTGTTATTTTCATTTATGCATTTTACTACCTTGTAATATTCCACTGAGTCTATTTACCACACTATGTTTATTTTTTTCGTAGGTGGACTTTGGTATTTTATAGCTTTGGCTAATAGGAACAGCATTCCTATAACAGTTGTGAGTGTATCATGACACATAAGTAGACATTTATCTCTAGGGTACATAATTAAGTACATAATTAAGAAGGGTCACAGCCGTGTGCCTCCTCTTTTTAACTAGATAATTCCAATACACTTCCTTAATTGATTAAAGCAATTTGTACTCTTACTATTAATGTACTAAAATTCTACATGTTCAATATTCTTTCCAAAAAATGATTTTGCTACTTTTTTCTTTTCTTGAGACTGAGTCTTGCTCTATCACCCAGGCTGTAGTGATCTCGGCTCACTGCAACCTCCGCCTCCTGGGTTCATGCGATTCTCGTGCCTTGGCCTCCCAAGTAGCTGGGATTACAGGCAGGCGCCACCATGTCTGGCTAATTTTTGTATTTTTAGTAGAGACAGCGTTTCACCATGTTGGCCAGGCTGGTCTCGAACTCCTGACCTCAGGTGATCCTCCTGCCTCGGCCTCCCAAAGTGTTGGGATTACAGGCATGAGCCACCACACCCGGCCTATTTTTTTCTTTTCCCTCCATTGTGCTATGATTTTTGACATTACAATTTTACTGAAACTACACCATAAGAATGAAGCAGAAATTATTATAACCTTTAAATAAACTTTACAACTGGTTCATACTCGTGTGAACGACAATTCTTTTGACTATTTCCCAACTGTGCATTCAATGGCGTCATATGGGCACCCTGAAGTTGGCCATAAAGGACGTATTTATACCACACTAATCAGCAAATACCATAAATCTGGGGCTTTATATGTTCAGAGTTTTCTTAAGAAAATAATTTTTTCAGAGAGCCAGTTTAACAGAATACCATGAGGCTGAGCCTTCGAGCGTTAGTGTGCTCATTCTGAGAGATGATATTTCTGGACGAAGTACACAGGTATCATCCGATGAAGAGTGAAGGGAATTCAGGGTCCAGAGAGGGTGCTAGGGCATCATTTCAGACTCATATTTCCCTTTTTTTTTTTTTTTTTTGGAGATGGAGTCTTGCTCTGTTGCCCAGGCTGGAGTGCAGTGGCAAGATCTTGGCTCACTGCAACCTCCGCCTCCCGGGTTCAAGCTATTCTCCCACCTCAGCTTCCTGAGCAGCTGGGATTACAGGTGCTCACTGCCACACCCAGCTAATTTTTGTATCTTTTAGTAGAGACAGGGTTTCACCATGTTGGCCAGGTTGGTCTCGAACTTCTGACCTCAAGTGATCCGCCCACCTCAGCCTCCCAAAGTGCTGGGATTACAGGTGTGAGCCACTGTGCCTGGCCTCAGACTCATGTTTCAAAGTCCCAAATACAAATCTGCCCACCTATTCCAGTTATTTAATCCAGATCTATGCTCAGAACTGAAAAGATGGAGAATCAATAGTTCACTTTAGAGAATGCGGTAGTTGGAAACAAAGACAAATGTATTACAGGACAGTGGACCAGAGCACGTGATCGCAGGGGTGTGGATGCAAACCCACCATGGGGGACGTGCCTTCACATCACAGAGAGCGAAAGGAAGGGAGGGGCAGACACGGAGGATCCACAACAGCAGGACTGAAAGCACTGCCATTTAATGGAAGTTTAATGGAGGAAGCGTTCTCTACAGGCACCCAGACATCTTCCTGAACCTGACCCAAGCCTCCCCTTCTCGACTTTCTCAGTAGACGGTTTCCCGAATGATGGTCCAGACTTTCTTCCAGAACCTCCTAGGACTATCAGATTCATTGCCAAGGCTCTGGCACTCTGAAGGGTGCATTGTTCTCTCATGTATTTACCTCCTTGCTGCATCTTGGGGACTTCTCTAGCTGTGCCAATCCTAAAGCAGCAGAATCCCGAGGACCACCAGGACCAAGCCAGCCACAGCCACGCGGATGAGATTCTCCACTGTGTAATCCTGGGGGTGTGAGGCTGGGGATGGTGGACCAAGAGGTCTCAGAGGTCAGGGCAGATCAACATCACCCGGGACCCCTGGATGTCCACCCAGGGCACCCACCTCCCCTTCACAGGACCTGACCCTCTGTGCCAGCCCCATAACCGAGAGCATCTCCTTACACACCAGTCTTGGAGTCTGTCTTGTTTTGCGATGGGCTGAGGGTCTCAGCTGCTCCTGAGAATCAACCAAAAAAGGGGGAGGTGTGTGAGGAGTTGAAGAGACTTAAGCCAACATGTCCCTCAGTTGCTGCATTCCTTTGTGTCTACACTTCTCCTAACTGCTCTGTAGTTGTGTGATAGAACCTTTCCCTGCCGTGGCAGAGGTACATTCGCATACATACATACATATATGCATAGGTGTAAATATGTGTGTATACATAATATGTGTTATGCATATGTGTATACATAATATGTATTATGCATATGTGTATAGATAATATGTATTATGCATATGTGTATGCATAATATGTATTATAAGATATAGTGTGAGTATATATAAATATATAATATATAAGATATATAATAGTGTGTGTATACATATAAATATATAATAAGATATGTAATAGTGTGTGCATATATAAATATATAATATATAATAAGATATATAATAGTGTGTATATATAAATATATAATACATAATATATTATAAGATATATAATAGTATGTATATATAAATATATAATACATAATATATAAGATATATAATAGTGTGTGTATATATAAATATATAATACATTATATATTATAAGATATATAATAGTATATATAAATATATAGTACATAATATATAATAAGATATATAATAGTGTGTGTATACATATAAATATATAATAAGATATGTAATAGTGTGTGCATATATAAATATATAATATATAATAAGATATATAATAGTGTATATATATAAATATATAATACATAATATATTATAAGATATATAATAGTATGTATATATAAATATATAATACATAATATATAAGATATATAATAGTGTGTGTATATATAAATATATAATACATTATATATTATAAGATATATAATAGTATATATAAATATATAGTACATAATATATAATAAGATATATAATAGTGTGTGTATACATATAAATATATAATAAGATATGTAATAGTGTGTGCATATATAAATATATAATATATAATAAGATATATAATAGTGTATATATATAAATATATAATACATAATATATTATAAGATATATAATAGTATGTATATATAAATATATAATACATAATATATAAGATATATAATAGTGTGTGTATATATAAATATATAATACATTATATATTATAAGATATATAATAGTATATATAAATATATAATACATAATATATAATAAGATATATAATAGTGTGTGTATATATAAATATATAATACATAATATATATTATAAGATATAATAATGTGTGGGTAATATAAATATATAATACATAATATATAAGATATATAATAGTGCATATATAAATATATAATACATAATATATATTATAAGATATAATAATGTGTGGGTATATATAAATATATAATACATAATATATATTATAAGATATAATAATGTGTGGGTATATATAAATATATAATACATAATATATAAGATATATAATAGTGTATATATAAATATATAATACATAATATATATTATAAGATATATAATAGTGTGTGAGTATATATAAACACATACATATATATTTGAAGTGAGAAGAGTATTATATAATTTAGAAACAAACAAGTTTGTCCTCCATTTTCTTGTGGTTAATGTAATTATTATCAATAAATCAGAAGAGATCATTTCGGAAAGGATTGAAAGGGAGTGTGTCTGTGGTAAGTTAATAGGAACTAAAATTAGCATACCCAAACCAATAGCTTTCTCATCCATACGTAACTAATTTTAGAAAATAGAAAGGAATCAAAGACTTTCAAATTATTCAAGTAGTAAAACAATGCTTAAAATTCACAATGTCCACAATTTTTATGAATACAACTTCAAGCATCTGCTAACTGTATAAAGTTTAATTTTAAATGTATTGGATACAAAGACATTATTAATGAGAAGTTATTCTCCATCATGAATGCACATATTTAATTTAATCCCAAAGAAAATCAGAGCACAGTTATTTTACATCATAACGCTACCTAACAAATTAAATGTGTAAATTATAAATGCCAGCATTGCTTTGAAATCTTCAGAAACAGAAAGAGAAACTAGATATGTGGACATAAAAAATAAAGGACAGAAAGGAATTGCACACGAGGTTTGCTGTTGAATAATTTGCCTGCATTGCTGCAGTGAGCAGGTGCATGATCTCCCCTTCGTCTCAGGTATGCACTGAGTATTTTGGGGCCGCCAGGGGAGCCCAGGTGGGGAGTGGGTGGGGCCTCCATCTTCTACCCTCAGCCTAAGCATGATTCCTCCAAGGTTTCTCCATATCTCATTTCAGCCCTCCCTGGCCTTTAGCCCCATCTGAGGTCTCTGGGGTGGGAGCCCAGGATTAGGAGGTCCCTGACTATTTCCACCCTCTCATGGGCTGGGCCCTCCCCTGCCGACCCTCCCCCTTTACTCCCCTCTTTCCTTAGCGTCCTGAGCTCTCCTGGGGGCAGGGCCTGAGCTGAGGTTTGAGCTCAGAGAGGACAGGGTCAGCGGCCTCACCTGAGACCACGAGCTCCAGGGGGTCACTGGGGTGAGACAGCAGGTAGGGGAAGAATCTGCGTGAGCTGTAGCACCTGTAGGTCCCCGCGTGGGCTGAGGTCACAGGACTCATGGGGAATTCAGCCTGGTGCTGCTGAGCTTGGTGCTCTGATCTCAGACGCAGTGGGTGATGGGCTGCCCCCTCCTTGGTCAGAAGGAAAGTGTCCAACTGCTCCCGTGACTGACACAGCAGGGTCACGTTCTCTCCTGAGGCCACCGTGGGGCCCGGCTGCACCGAGAGGGAGGGTCTGCCACGGATCTGTCCTGGAGAGAAGAAGGATGGGTGAGGGGCTGCCCCACCTCGTTCTGAGCTGACACCTCCCCAGGCCTCTCCCTGGGACCCTCAGTGTCTCTGTCTCTGTTTTCTCTGAGTCTCCCCCTCCCCGCCCATCCCCTGTCTCTGTCTGTCTCTCCGTCCCTTAGGACCCCCACCCCTCATCCCGGCCATCACCACCTGGGCTCCCCCAGCAGGGCCTGTGCGGAGCCTGGGTCCCTGACTGAACCTGCTGGGCTCCTCACCTGCGATCAGGATGCTCAGGGGGTCACTGGGGGCCGACCACTCGGAGGAGAGGTTGTGTGCACCGTAGCATCTGTACTGGCCCCCGTGGGAGACCCTCACAGGGCCCAGGGTGAAGTTGGCCTGGGAGAGCCCAGCCTGGGGCTGCCGGCCAGAGCCCTGGACGAGGTCATGTCCCCCCTCCTTGTACAGAGTGAATTTGTCATAGCCGACATCAGAGCCACACTGGAGGGTCAGATTCTCCCCAGGGGCCACGACAGGGCCCTGCAGGGTCAGGAGGGAGGGCTTCCTAGACACGCCTGGAGGGAAAGAAGAGTCGGGACTAGGAGGGCTGGTTCCTCCCACACCCCTTCCTTCTCCCCTCCTGGCCCTGCAGGTCTCACTGTCTCTCACACTCAGTGTCTCTGGGCTCAGGAGTCCCAAACTTCCCTTGTTCCACCCTCCTACATGGGGCTCCGTGAGAGTAAGTTCTCAAAAATAAATAGGGCAAGGAGGAAGACATCCATACCTAAGACCAGGATCTCCATGGTATCACTGGGTTCCGACCACACCCAGGGGAAGTTCGTGTAATGCCCATAGCATCTGAACATCCACCGGTGACTGGCAGCCACACGGCCCACAGGGAACAGGGCCAGGGACAAGGGACAGCCCCTTGGAGAGTTCCTGTGAGTCCAGCATCCAGGAGAGCTTGTTTTCTCCTTCCTCAATCAAAATGAACCTGTGAAATCCCACCCTTGAGCTACACTGGATGGTCACGTTCTCTCCTGAGGTCACCACAGGGCTCGGCAGGGCTGAGAGAGTGGGTTTTCTGTGGGCTCCTAGGAGAGAAGGAGACACTGTCTTAAATGGGGCTCACGCGTCCCACATCATCCCCCAGGGCTGAGTTATTAGAACGGAGATGCCCTTGAGAGCTGACCCCCTTCCTGCAGGCAGAGCCTGGGGCTGGGACCCCTGAGTGTCCTCTTACCTGTCACCACCAGCTCCAGGGGCTCGCTGCGCTCTGACCAGCCTGCAGGGCTGAGATAGTGACAGTGGTATCTCCCTGCATGGTGCTCTCTCATGGATGGGATGAAGAAGTTGGTCTTGTTCCTGGGCTCTGGTGGGCTCTGTTGGTACCAGGTCATGGGGTTTCCTTCCTTGGTGAGATAGTAACCCTGGGTATCCAGGGTCCCCTGGCACCAGAGGGTCATGGGGCTCTCCCAGGTAATCACAGAGCCTGGCTCAGCCCAGAGGCTGGGTTTGGGGAGGGTCCCTGGAAGAAACCACAGGCTGGGGTCCACAGACCTCCCCCGCTCCTCATTCCCAGCTCAGGTCACAGACCCTCTTGATTTTCTCACCCTCAGTTCAGAAGCCCCTGAGATGAGAGTCCAGGTGCTGAGTGTGAGGTCAGGCATGGGAGGTTAGCAGAGACTCACCTGCAAGTGCTTGGGCTTTCTGGCCCAGACTCAGCCATGGAGAAGAGTTTCCTGTGGGGGATTTGGAACACAGAGGTGTGGCTGCTTCCCTTCCTGTTGGAGCACCAGTAGCCACTGGAGCCCTGAGGCTCTCTGGTGAACAAGGCTGCTGTGGGACCCTCCCCACCTCAGCCCAGTGCCCCTCCTGTCCCTCGTCTCTCCACCACTGACTGAGGCACAGAAGAACAGTGAGGATGGACACCATGATGCCTGCTCTGCGTGCTCCAGCTGTGGGACAGGTGACCACATGGCCCTCCATGACAGACAGATGCACGGATGTGGTTAAGTCAGAGCCTGCTGCCGCCTGCCTGGGTCCCCACAGCTGTGAACCCACAGGAAGTGGACAGCCCCTTGCTGGGCCTGTCTCTTATTCCCCCCCCAGTGCAGGGGCTCAGGAGGACCCAGGCCCTCTGCACACATCTCAGCCCAGACCTGAGGTGTCCCCTGATTGCCAGGGATCCTTTGTCTGAAAACCTGCCCGTGGAGGGTGGACCCAACATCATATCTATGTCAGCTCCCAACTTAGCTGGGTCTAAACTGAAAACACAGCCCTTATTTTCTCAGAGCCTCCACTC
Organism: Homo sapiens; assembly: GCF_000001405.40. NCBI lineage: Eukaryota > Metazoa > Chordata > Mammalia > Primates > Hominidae > Homo > Homo sapiens. The sequence continues at coordinate 161,218 of NT_187669.1, forward strand.
ATGACATCGGCTTTCTTTTTCCCCACTGATGCAAAGACAAATATTTCCCAGCAGAAAGTCATCCTGATCTGGAGAGACCCATTTCCTGCGTTCAGTAAATAAAGTCAGTTTCATTAGGGGAGGCTCTGGGAAAATAAGGGGATGCAGACTAGCAGAAGATGAACATTTAGCTACTTGTTTCTCAATTAATTGATTTATTACCAAAGAGAGAGAAGTGGAAACATGAGAATAGGGACCATGACTAGAATGTGGTTGAGGGAATGGTTTCTATCTTATTCCCTGGCAGAGAACTAAGGGATAAGAATGAGAAAGCTGGCTGGGTGCAGTGGCTTACACCTGTAATCCCAGCACTTTGGGAGGCCGAGGCAGGAAGATCACAAGGTCAGGAGTTCAAGACCAGCCTGACCAACATGGTGAAACCCCTGTCTCTACTAAAAATACAAAAACTAGCTGGGTGTGCTGGCATGCGCCTGTAATCCCAGCTACTAGGGAGGCTGAGGTGGGAGAATCGCTTGAACCTGGGAGGTGGAGCTTGCAGTGAGCCGAGATCGCGCCACTGCACTCCAGCCTGGGCAACAAAGCCGGACTGTCTCAAAAAAAAAAAAAAAAAAAAAAAAAAAGAAAGAGAGAAAACCCAGCAGTGAGAGGTAGTTGTGAGAACACACTAAAGAGGAAAGATAATCCAGGGCTGGGAGTGGTGGCTCATGCCTGTAATTCCAGCACTTTGGGAGGCTGAGGCTGGCAGATCACAAGGTCAGGAGTTCGAGACCAGCCTGACCAACATGGTGAAACCCTGTGTCTACTAAAAATGCAAAAATTAGCTGGGTGTGGTGGTGGGTGCCTGTAATCCCAGCTACTCAGGAGGCTGAGGTGGGAGAATCGCTTGAACCCAGGAGACGGAGGTTGCAGTGAGCTGAGATTGCACCACTGCACTCCAGCATAGGCAACAAAGCCAGACTCTGCCAAAAACAAAAACAAAAACAAAAACAAAAACAAAAAACAAGAAAGCTCAGTGAGAGGTGGTTGTGAGAACACACTAAAGAGGAAAGATCATTCAGGGCTGGGAGTGGTGACTCACGCCTGTAATCCCAGCACTTTGGGGGGCCACAGGCGGGTGGATTACCTGAGGGCAGGAGTTCAAGACCAGTCTGGCCAACATGGTGAAACCTCGTCTCTACTAAAAATACAAAAACTAGCTGGGTGTGATGGCGGGTGCCTGTAATCCCAGCTACTTGAGAGGCTGAGTCAGGAGAATCTCTTGAACCCAGGAGGCAGAGGTTGCAGTGAGCTGGGATCGTGCCACTGTACTCTAGCCTGGGTAACAGAGCAAGGCTCTGTCTCAAAAAAATAAAAATTAGAAAGAAAAAAGGAGAAGGAGAAGAGGAAGGAGACAGAAAGGAGAGAAACATCCCTGAGGTGGAACATTACATGCAACATGGAGTAGGCAGGGAATCCGATAGAGCACTGAAACTCTCGCTGGGTACGGTGGCTAACATCTGTACTCCCAGCACTTTGGGTGGCCGAGGTGGATGGATCACCTGAGGTCAGGAGTTTAAGACCAGCCTGACCAACATGGTGAAACCCCATCTCTACTAAAAATACAAAAGGCTGGGTGTGGTGGCTCACGCCTGTAATCCCAACACTTTGGCAGTCTGATACAGGCGGATCACATGAGATCAGGAGTTTGAGACCAGCCTGGCCAAGATGGCAAAACCTCATCTCTACTAAAAATACAAACATTACCTGGCTGTGGTGGCAGTCGCCTGTAATCCCAGCTATGCAGGAGGCTGAGGCAGGAGAATCGCTTGAACCTGAGAGGTGGAGGTTGCAGTGAGTCAAGATCGTGCCATTGCACTCCAGCCTGGCCAATAGGAGCAAAACTCCATGTGAAAATAAAATAAAATAAAATAAAATATAATAAAATAAAATAATAAATCAAAAAAGGACTGGACATCTCCTGTGGGTTGTCAGTGAATGGAACTAAGCAAGCCACCGCTCTTTCCCTTTTGTCCCGCAAGTGTCTTTCTTGGCCTCCAGGAAGTGAGTTCCATCATGTCAGACCCTATGTTTGTTCCTGCTGGGTTCACTGAGGCTCCTCCCTTTCCACCTGTGGCTCCCCATGGGTTCCCAGTCCCCAGCCAGTGTTGTGAATCGAGCCAGGAAGACCAGCCCTATCACACCCCTCCTGATGGAATTCCCACAGTGTCATCCTGGAGAACAGGGGCTGGGGGCTGGGGTAGGATCAGAGACCTTTTCATGTGGGCCAGGCCCCTCCCTCCACAGGAGCTCTGACACGAAGCTCATCACCATTCATTTCACCCTGACGATATTCTTCCTGCCCAGACACCCCCGTTCTCCCTATGTCATCATGGGCACCTCAGTGAAATCCATGGTTGAGGGTCTCTGTCACTTACTCTGCCCTCTTCTTGGAAAATTTCCTTGGATCCTTCCAGAGCCCTTCCTGAGTGTGCTGCAGGGTCTCTGCCACATGACACACTCTCAGGAACCCTCATCCTCCCCTTAATCTACTGCGCCCACATAGCCAGGTGCAGGCTCCGTTTCTTCATCTTCCCTTCCCCACAGGCCCCGATGGAGAGTGGATTAGACTCGCTCCTGAGTAGGGACTCAGGTCACTCTGACCCCTTCCTCCCTGTGGACGAGGCCTCTGTCCCAGAGCTTTGGAGGCTGAAGGGCCTTGTGGATTCCCGCACTGGCCACAGTCTCCGATGCAGATGGGGAACTGGGGACCTGGGAGGGGTTGCCTAGCCCAAGGCCACATAGCTGGGCGGTGGCACAGCCTTCACTCACACAGGGACATTCCATCTTCCCAGGGACTTCACACTGGAGGCTAAGAGCCCCACTTTGCACACCACATTCAGGGGTAGATTCTGTGTGTGACTAACAAGTTCTCTTAGGGTTCCGAGGTAACAGGACAGCAAATGGATGAGTGAGAGTTTCCCTCACCCCACTGAAGTAGGACCATTCTCTGTGGAGGGTTGGTCCCCTGACTTCCTCTACTCTGTCATCTCCCTAGTGACTGATAGGGGTCCTGGGGTCTCTTCCCTGGAATCCCATGAGGGACAATTCCTTTCCTGAAGGGAAGGTATAGAGAGGACTAGCAGGTGCCTGGTGATGGAAAGTCCCCATAATCAAGAGACATTGCCTCCCCCCCCCGGCATGATAAATATCTGGGTTTCCAAATGGGAAATCTGTCTGTGATGAGAGCTCAGGAGGGGCTTCTGGAAGATGGAAAAGGGCTAGAGGCTGAGGCCACTGCTTATCTCCCCACACTGTATCTGGCTTCACCTCCTGTGTTTGTCCTGACCTCTTCCTTCACTCACCTGGATAAGTAGGACCCCAAAGTGGGCCTCCAGACAGGAAGCAGTGGAGAGTGTGGAGCTGCCCTGTCTACCACCCTACACCCTGACACCACTGTCATACTCAACCTCTCTTTTCCTCTTTGTGTTTCTCATTGCTTCATTTTGTCTGGAATCCCTAAGATTCCCATGTCTCCAGCAGGCTGTCCCTCAGACGTGGCTATATGATTTAGTGTTTCACAGGGCATGCAGCAGGCATGGGCTACCCCCAGTAACAGTGGTCATCTAGGGCTGATCACTCACAGGCAGAGCCATCGACAGAGAGCTGCAGCATCTAGAGGTCCCATCACCAGCCCCAAGACCCAGAGAGAAGTTGGCCTGAATGCCCCACTCTGTCTCTGCACCCCAGTGAGCCAGTGTCCAGGGGCCTTACCTTCCTCGTTAGAAGGCACAGGTCAAATGAGCTTCCAGAGCTGCAGAGCAAAGTCACATTCTCTCCATCATTACTTACTGCAGGGCACAGTTGAGCTGAGAAGGAAGGTCTCTTGTAGACGCCTGGGGAAAAAAATAGTCCTTGACTGTCGAGCACAAGCCTTACCCAGCCTATCCTCAGGGCATGAAAAAGGCATTCTCTCCACCTGTTCTGGGGAGCACACTCTGTTACCCACTCGTGCCTCTCTCCATCTCAGTTCTAGCTCTACAAGCTGGCTCATCATGTGTGTGTTTTCCTGTCTGTCTTTGCTCAGCTTTTCCTTGAATCTCTTGCTTTTTGCCGGTGCGTGTGTGGCTTTCTGCCCTTAGAACCATATGAGATTTAGGGTTCTCCTGGCACATAGAACTGTTTACTTTGAGGACCCTCAGAAAACATAGCCCTGGGCTAAGGCTCCCTGTCCTGGAACTAGAAGGTTATGGGTGTCACCATTTCCCAACAGCATGTCTGAAAGTGCCAGAATCTTCAAAGAGTCTGCAACATGTTTGTAGGATCTTTATAGGGTCTGATATTGCAGGGACCAACCAAAGTGCCCTCACACCCCAAGACGCTGGAAGTGACCCCTTGCTGAAAGTGGTTGGAAGTTTCACATAGAAGTTTGAGTTAAGCCACATTGCTGAGCAATGCCTCAGCATCCCAGTCTTCATCCAGACCTTCCAGGAGCCTGGCTGGAGGGGGTGTCTCTGGTGTGTCACTGAGCCTTATAGCAGAGGAAGGGGGCTATGGTGGAAACTACCTCCAAGATACCACTCAGTCCTAAGCTGGGGAACAAGCTGAGCTTGGATTCTGGTAGTGAATGAACCGGGAAACATTTATTTGAAGGGTTCTAAGAGTAGCATCGTGTGGGTGCGTTAATTGTATGTGAAGGGGAAGATCCTGAGAAAACAAGAGCTGCTCCACTCTGTGCCTGGGTTTACCAGAGGGACCGATGAGGTCCTCACAAGACCCAGGAATCCCACCGGGGGAAGGAGGCTTAGGGAGATGTGTTTAAGACTGTTAAGTGAGTCACAGACAGAAGCAGATCAAGCCATCCCACCACCTAGGTTTGTGGTTTTGTTTCTCCTAAACTTCCTTTCTGTAAGTAGCAGAACCTTCTCATCACCATCCTTCAAAACCTCTGCATTGTTTGAGCTCCTTGTATTTTCTGGAGATTAATCTCTTGCTTGCAAATATTCTTTCCCATTCTGTAGGTGGTCTCTTCACTCTGCTGTTTGTTTCCTTGATTGTGCAGAAGGTTTGCAGTTTGCTATGATCTCATTTGCCTATTTTTGCTTTTGCTGCCTGAGCTTTTGAGGGTTTTTTTTTTTTGTTTTTTTTTTTGAGACGGAGTCTCGCTCTGTCACCCAGGCTGGAGTTCAGTGGCATGATCTCAGCTCATTGCAACCTCCGCCTCCCGGGTTCAAGTGATTCTCCTGCCTCAGCCTCCCTAGTAGCTAGGACTACAGGCGAGTGCCACCACACCCGGCTAATTTTTGTATTTTTAGTAGAGGCAGGGTTTCACCACGTTTGGCCAGGCTGGTCTCAAACTCCTGACTTCAAGTGATCCACCCACCTTGGCCTCCCAAAGTGCTGGGATTACAGGCGTGAGCCACTGCGCCCGGCGTTGTATTGGATTTTTAATTCAGCCCTATTTTCTCCGACATTTGATATTGGCATTTTTGTCTTTTTTGGATATGCTAGGATCATGGTGTCATAATTTAATTTTAATTTTTATTTTTATTTTAAGTTCCGGGGTACATGTGCAGAATGTGTGGGCTTATTGCATAGGTCAATGTGCGCCATGGTGGTTTCCTGCACCTGTCAACCCATCACCTAGGTATTAAGCCCAGCATACATTAGCTATTTTTCCTAATGCTCTCCCTACCCCTACCCCACCCCCCCCCCGACAGGCCCCAGTGTGTGTTGTTCCCCTCCCTGTGTTCACGCATTCTCATTGTTCAGCACCCACTTGTAAGTGAGAACATGCAGCGTTTGATTTCCTGTTCCTGTGTTAGTTTCCTGAGGATAATGGTTTCCAGCTCCATCCATGTCCCTGCAAAGGACATGATCTTGTTTCTTTTTATGGCTTCATAGTATTCCGTGGTGTATATGTCTCACATTTTCTTTATCCAGTCTATCATTGATGGGCATTTGGGTTGATTCTATGTCTTTGCTATTGTGAATAGTGCTGCGATGAACACATGTGTGCATGTATCTTTGCAATAGAATGATTTATATTCCTTTGGGTATACGCGCAGTAATGGGACTGCTTTTACCTGTGCCAAAATACTGAAGTAGAAATGATTATTCACTCTAAAATGGAAGGTAATAAGATGTATACGTGAGCTATCAGATGCCTGGTGCTTATGAGTGAAGACAAGTCTGTCCAACGCTTCCCAACCCTGCATTCAGGGATGTCTCGTTGGCATCTTGATTATGGCCATGAAAAAAGAATTTACGTCAAGGAAATTGGTAAATGCCACTAATCATAGCATTTCAAAAAATGTCTTTTTCAGAATTAGCATACCATTGGGTCGTGACTTCAAATGCCAGTGTGTTGATTCCAGGTGGTGATATTTCAGGAGAAACTACACAGATAGCATCTGATAAGGAGGGAAGAGCTCATAGGGTCCACACAGGAGGTGAGGGCATCACGGTGCATTTATCTTTTCCTGGTCGGACTCTGATCTTCTCCCGTTGAATTAGTTCCTAAACCAGGTGCGGAACTCTGAACTGAAGACATGAAGACCCAGTAAAGTACACCAGGAAGTGTGGCAATGAGAAATGAAGAGGACTGTGTGACACGCCATGGACCAGAGCATGCAGGTGTGCAGAGGTGTGGACCCAACGCTGCCATGTGGGATGGAGCCTCATGTCTAAGTGTGGGAAAAGAGGCAGATCCAACCAAGGAAAGTCAACATTAATGGAGAGGAAAGGTATCACATTTTAATGGTTCTCCATGGATCACCCCAGAAAATGTCCCTGCACTCGGACATTGATTCCTTCCTCTGGAAATGACCAGCAGACAGTCCAGATAGCATCGGCCCTAGATTTTCTTCCAGAACCTCCTGGGATCATCAGATCTGTTCCTGAGGCTTCACGACTCTATAAAGTACATTATCCTCTCTGCTGTTCACCTCCCGGCTGCATCTTGGGAAGCTTCTCTGGCTGTGCCAAGCCTCAAATGACAGAATCCCGAGGACCACCAGGATCAAGCCAGCCACGCCCATGTGGATGAGATTCTCCACTGCGTAATCCTGAAGGTGTGAGGCTGGGGATGGTGGACAAAGAGGTCACAGAGGTCAGGGTGGATCAGATTGTCCACCCAGGGCACCCACCTCCCCTTCACAGGACCCAACCCTCAGTGCCAGCCCCATCACTGAGAGTATCTCCTCACATACCAGTCTCAGAGTCAGACTTGTTTTGTGATGGGCTGAGGGTATCAGCTGCTCCAGAGAATCAAAACAGAGAAAAAGAGACCTGAGCCCAGCCTCTCACCTGGGCTCTGCAATTTTTTTTTTATTACTTAATGTCTCATGATGTGACTTTTACAGAATTTCTAAAAAAAAAAAAAAAAAACCTCTTCCTCCGCTAGCAGGATTCCCTCTAGTCTCCTCATTGAACGATTTCAGTTTTCCTGTGTTCTATGGATTTAAACATTGCTCCTGAGTCATCTGGGAGAGAGTTTTCCTGCATCCTGAGAGCTCAGGATCTGCAAGGAAAGTGGTCCCCAGTACAGAGGTCACTAAGGCCTGTGTGCTCTCTGTGCAGCCTGGGACACAGGAGAACATGAGCCAACTCCCCCGGAGATGAGAGTTTCACGGATCCACCAGCTGAGGACCCAGGCTCCGTGGATGAGGGTTAGTCATCAGGGGAGCCTCAATGTCAGAAGCACAAAGGGGTGAAATTCTGGGGCTGCCTCCCCTTCATGCCCTCAGCCACTTCACCTGGAGTTTCATTGTCCATTTAATCTCTAGGTAGCTAATTATTCGTATAGGCAGCAACAGGTAGAATGTGATACACACACAGAAAAACACAAACACAAATATATATCTGTTTTATATATATAGTGGGCCTTAAAAACTATCTCTGCCTTCTTGAAGTGTGGGTTCACCTGGAGACAAACAGCAAACATATAGAAACACAGCAGTGGAAATTTACTAGTCGTAGCAATGGTTTTAGATATATTGGTAGAGACCTATATTTATGTGTGAATATATATTATTTGTATAGATATACGGATAACTAGGTTTCAATGTCACGTAAGATGTTGGTGTGACCACACACGCGCACACACACACACACACGTATATGCAGAGAGTGGAAGAGAGAGAGAAGGAATTCAGCCGCATGGTGTAGGTTGGTTAATTACTTGACATAAATGAGAAGCAGGCAGGACTGGGCTGAGCTGTGTCGTCAGTGAAGGTCACACTTGGAGGTGACATTGAAGCTGATTCCTCAATAGGAAAAAGGGCCAGGAAGGAGGCGTGTGGAGACCCAGACAGGGAGCAACAGAGGCTCCAGAAAGAGCAGGTCCCAGAAAGGTCTCAGCCTGTTCTTCAGAAAGGAATGGCCGCTTGTCTACAGGGTGGAGGAGGAGGCAGAGGAGGAGGGGAGATGAGCTTCGGGGCCTTGGTGGATTGAGAATAGGCCAGGATGAACCGGCCAGGAAAGAGCGGCCCCAATATCTCTCTCTCTGTCTCTCTGTCTCTGTCTCTGCCTCTCTCTCCCTCCCTCTGAGGTCTGGAAAGTGCTGTAGGGTTTCAAGGAGTGGTACCAGTCATTTGACTTTTTCTGAAAAGATAAGCCCTACCCCCTCCATAGCAAATGTCCAGAACGAAGGAAGTCCACATTTCTACCTGAAGTTTACAAAACCTCAGGGAGCACGTGAGATCAGGGCTATTACGAAACCGGGTGAGAATAAAAATAGGTGATGCTGCAAATCTACTTTCACCAGCTTGGACAAAAAGGCCAATATGAGATTTTAAAAACCCAAATAAAAAATGTCAACGGCGCAGAAGAGGAGCGGTGCACATTCCCTGAGCTGCTGCGGGAGCACGTGCAAGTCCCTGTGAGGCTCAGGTGTGCGCTGAGTGCTGGGGAGGCTGCAGGGGAAAGCAGGAAGTGGGGCGGGGTGGGGGGGGGTCGGGGGTGGATGCAGGTGGCACCGGCAGCCTGGATGCTTCTCTCTCCAGGAGGGCGTCTGTTGGGGACTGGGACACAGAGGCTCTGATTCTGAGGTGGAGACACCAGGATGGGAGCAGGTGGGGCCTCCGTCTTCCACCCTCAGTCTAATCTCAACTCCTTTGAGGTTCACCCCCCGTCTCCTCCCAGCCCTCCCTGCACTTTACTCTACTGAGACTTCAGGGGTGGGAGCCAGGGGTGGGAGGTCCCTGTCTATTTCCATCTTCCCATGGGCTGGACCCTCCCCTGCGGACCCTCTCCCTTCACTCCCCTCTTTCCTTAGTGTCCAGAGCTCTGCTGGGGGCAGGGCCTGAGCTGAGCCTTTGAGCTCAGAGAGGACAGGGTCAGCGCCCTCACCTGAGACCACGAGCTCCACGGGGCCACTGGGGTGAGACAGCAGGTAGGGGTCGGAGCTGAGTGAGCCGTAGCACCTGTAGGTCCCCGTGTGGGCTGAGGTCACAGGACTCATGGGGAATTC